>NC_000020.11:66335-217850 GCF_000001405.40 Homo sapiens
CCACTGTACTCCACTCCACTCCAATCCGCTCCACTCAATGCCATTCCACTCGATTCCACTCCAATCCACTCGTCTCCAGTCCACTCCATTCTATTCCTCTCCACCCCATTCTATTCCACTCCACTCCATTCCACTCCACTCACTCCATTCCACTCCACTCCATTCCACTCCACTCCAATCCATTCCATTCCATTCCACTCCATTCCACTCCATTCCCATCCAATCCATTCCACTCCACTCCATTCCAGTCCACTCCACTCGATTCCACTCCAGTCCATTCCACTGCACTCCATTCCATGAAATTCCATTCCACTCCATTCCATTCCATATCACTCCATTCCATTCCACTCAATTCCATTCCCTTCAATTCCACTCCACTTATTTCCCCTCCTTTCCACTCCATTCCACTCCACTCCACTCCATCCCTATCCACTCCACTCCACTCCATTGCATACCACTCCACTCCTTACCACTCCTTTCTTCTCCATTCCACTCCGCTCCCCTCCTTTCCTTTCCAATCCTCTCCAGTCAATTCCATTCCACCCCACTCCATTCCTTTCCACTCCACTCCACTCTATTCCACTGTATTAAACTCCACTCCATTCCATTCCAGTCCATTCCACTAAACTCCACTCTATTCCACTCCACTCCATTCCATTCCACTCCACTCTACTCCACTCCATTCCACTCATCTCCACTCCACTCTACTCCTTACCACTCCATTCCACTCCACTCCACTCCATTACATTCCACTTCATTCCATTCCAATCCACTCCATTCCTCTGGACTCCACTCCATTCGACTCCACTCCATTCTGCTCCCATCCACTCCATTCCACTCCACTACATTCCATTCCTCTCCACTCCATTCCATTCCATGCCACTCCTTTCCATTACACCCCACTCCACTGCATTCCACTCCTCTCCATTCCATTCCAATCCACTCCACTCCACTCCAGTGGAGTCAGAATGACAGTTTGGGTGAAGCAGTATGTCCATGTAAAACCACTTTTCCAAACCTTGCAAATCCACAGTGGTGAAATGTGATGCAGTTATGGTCAATGATATTAAGCATAATATTTTTGGTGGGGCATCTGGTAAGAACCTTAAAAGAGAGGAAAAAAGTAGTTAAGAGGCATTATCCATTAGCCTTTGCCTTTCTGCTTTCTTCTGCATGAAGCATGGTCAAAATGTTGGAGTCAATGCAGCCATCTTGCAAACATTCAGCAAAAGCACAGTCTAGGAATGTATTTTAAAAAGACTAGAAATTGCCTCATACTTGATATCATTGTGAAGCTATTATAGCATTCCTTGATTTTATGTTATATAAGAATAATAAACCCCTAATTTATAAAAGGCAACATTTTTCATGTTTTATGTTTCAGCCTATTGTACTTGTGAATAGATTATGTATTATAGATCAAATGTGATTTAGAAATATAGCCCTTTCTCCAATCTATCATTGATGGGCATTTAGGTTGATTCTGTCTTTTATATTGGGAATAGTGCTGCAATGAACATACGCGTGCATAGAGGATCAGGAAAGATAAACAATGGGTACCAGGCTTAATACCTGGGTGATGAGATAATCTGAACAAACCCCCATGACACAAGTTTAGCTATGTAACAAACCTGTACATGTACCCCTGAACTTAAAAAAAGAGATATGGTCTTTTCTTAAAGTTATAAAAGTGTTGTTTTCTTTCTTCGTTTTCATTTTCTTTAGTGTCTTCAGTTAAATATGAGGGGCTATCAATTATTTTAGGGCACCTTTATGTGAAAGGTTATGATATATTATTAAGTGAAGAAATGTAACTTAATAACTTTAGAAAGAGTATCATTTCAATTTTGAAAACAAACTAAAACCAAAAATTAGATATCTAGAGTCTATTCTGTGCATATTTCTTGAGGTAACAGATCTGACGTTTTATTTTCTTGTGTGTTAAACTTCATCAACTATTTCTGTTTTTATGACTACTTTGTCTCTAGCTCCTTGACCCGAATAGGTAGAAGTAGGTACTCAATAAATACTTGTTGAAAGAATAAAAACATGAATGTATCATTATTATCTACATACACACACATAATACTCTATATTAGGGTGTAAACGATACTTTGGGGGAAGTTACTCAATTTATTTTAGCTTGCCTGTCTTTTCATATATTTTAAAATTGAACGAGGTTTATTTCTGTCAGAATAAAATAAATAAAAGAAACTTCATCATTAATGATAAATTAGAAGAAACTGGAAAAATTAGGTGATTCTTTATTCCATGTATTATTGATCTTATAAGAGAAGATTATAATAGTCACCCGCTTTCAGTTTCAGCACTTTAATTTCCTTCATCCTTTTACCAAAATTAATTTTATATTGATTAAGAGTTAAATGTAAATAATAAAGCAGTTGAAGAGCCAAAAGATAAATGAGAAGATTTTAGAATAAAATAATTTTGTAAGATTTCTGGGTGTAACATTAATATAAAAATTAAACACTTTCTTTAATAAAAATCTAGAAAAGGTGGCGGGTAATAGTGGACTGTACATGCACTGAAGTCTTATCTTTCACTCGAGTATTCTAGAAATGACAATGAAAACATAAAAACAGGCTGGGCATAGTGGCTTATGCCTGTAATCCTAGCACTCTTGTTGGCCAAGGCAGGAGGGTTGCTTGAGGCCAAGAGTTCAAGATCCACCTGGCCAACATAGCGAGAACCTGTCTCTTTTTATAAAAAACAAACAGAAAAAAACATAAATACAAGTAAATTAATATAAAACCATGCTTAAACATATTTGATAGGAATATCATTGAAGCAGAGAATGTTTTTGAAAACATAACATTGATGAGATCAGATTGAAAAGATATTCTGAAACCTAGGAGGATTATGACAGAGTGCAACTGTAGGAAGTGGAGAAGGTGCTCTATCCACAGAGATGACACATGTTTGGAGGAGGAGATGCTGTGGGACCAACAACAGGAAATTAACTGGAATACCGAAGTAGAATGCTGCAGTTTGAAATGAGCATATAAAGCCCTCTCCATGAGACACTGAAACAGAGAAAGGGAAAGTAGCGTCTGTCTCCAAAAAGCAGCAGTGGTGGAGCTTGGATGGCTGACATGCCCAGAACAGGTCCCAAGTAACATCACTAAGCAGCCTTTATCTCTAACTTCCTCTTACTAAAAATAGTGCAGAATATAAGAGAACAATAGCTCCCACTCTCCCCCTCATTAATTAGGCATGTAATTAATATATTCAAAAGGATAAGAGGATAGTACATCCATGAAATAAACCAGGTGCTCATGAAAAGGACCAGTATTGAGATATTAGTGATTAAAAACATAACTGTTAAAGTATAAACTTTAATATGTATGTTAATTTTGTAATAAAGCCAGCTAGAGAGTAACTTATTAGGAAAAGCTGGATGGAAAAAATGCAGATTAAAAAGGAGGAAATAGAATAGAAAGTATGAAAAAATGTTAAGAAGTATGAGGAACAGATCAAGAACTTTCTAAATCAATTAAATAGGAGAGTAAAGAGGGGAAAATGATAGAATGGAGTGGAAGAAGTACTTAAACAAGAAAGAAAAATTTACAGAAATAAAAAAAAATGAGTTATCAAATTGAACCTGTCCACTAAGAGTGTGATAGGAAAAACAAAAACAAAGCAAATAAAATTGACTTCCAGATCCACTAAGATGAAATAGGGCATTTTTCCTAAGTCCTCCCTTTTACCTCTCAAAAATCCTGAACATAATACAATAAACAAGCATAGGAATACTCTGAAATGTGGAAAGAATACAGTGGACTACTTATAGTCCTCAAGACTTAAGGAACTCCATGGGTCTCAGTTCTCTGGGTTTCCTTATTGTCTTGCATATATCCAGGACAGGTGCTACAAATATTCCAATGCAGAACAGAAAAAAGCATCCTTCTGTGTCTGTTACCCCATGCAACAATATCAAAAGTTGAAATTATCCCAGTCCAGGGGGAGGGGATAGAGAGGGTTGGACATAAGAAGTATTTGAAAAGAATGTCAGCTGAAGTAGTCCCAAATGTGGCAAAAGGCAAAAACCTACAGATTCAAGAAGATGAGCAAATCCAAATAGGAAAATCCAAAGAAATGTATGCCAAGACACAACCTAATAAACTACTGAAACCTAAAGACAAAGAAAAAAATTTTAAAGCAAACAGAGGGAAACAACACATTACTTATAGGGGAATGCCAATTTAAATGACAGTGGATTTTGCCTCTGAAACCATATAGACCAAAACTATTGTGGCACAACATTTATCAAGTTATTAGAGATATGACAAACCCACAGCCAACATCATACTGAATGGGCAAAAGATGAAGCATTCCCCTTGAAAACCAGCACAAGAAAAGGATGTCCTCATTCACCACTTTTATTCAACATAGTATTGGAAGTTCTGGCCAGGGCAATCAGGCAAGAGAAAAAAATAAAGTGCATCCAAATGAGAAGAGAGGAAGTCAAACTATCCCTGTTTGCAGATCACATGATCCTATATCTAGAAAACCCCATAGTCTCAGCTCAAAAGCTTCTTAAGCTGATAAACAACTTCAGCAAAGTCTCAGGATACAAAATCAAAGTGTGAAAATCACTAGCATTCCTATACACCAACAGTCAAGCCAAGAGCCAAATCAGGAATTCTCATTCACAATTGCCACAAAAAGAATAAAATACCTAGGCATACAGCTAACTAGGGAGGTGAAAGATCTCTACAGGGAGAACTGCAAACCACTGCTCAAAAAAATCAGAGATGACAAAGACCAATGGAAAAACATTCCATACTCATGAATTCTTCCTAGAATGGATTGATTCTTCCTAGAATCAATGTCATTAAAATGGCCATACTGCCCAAAGCAATTTATAGATTCAATGCTATTCCTATTAAACTACCATTGACATTCTTCACAGAACTAGAAAAAAACTATTTTAAAATTCATATGGAACCAAAAAAGAGCCCGAATAGCCAAGGCAATCCTAAGTAGAAAGAACAATGCTGGAGGCACTATGCTACCCAACTTAAAACTATATTATAGGGCTACAGTAACCAAAACAGTATGGTCATGGTACAAAAACAGATGCATAGACCAATGGAACAGAATAGAGAACCCAGAAATAAGACCACACACCTACAACTATCTAATCTTCAATGAAGGTGACCAAAAAGAAGCAATGGAGAAAAGATTCCCTATTCAATAAATGGTGCTGAGATAACTGGCCAGCCATATGCAGTATATTGAAACTGGATCCCTTCCTTACACCATATACAAATATTAACTCAAGATGGATTAAAAGACTTAAATGTAAAACCAAAAAATTTAAAAACCCTAGAAGACAACCTAGGCAATAGCATTCAGTACACAGGCATGGGCAAAGGATTCATAATGAAAACACCAAAAGCAATTGCAACAAAAGCAAAAATGGACAAATGGGATCTAATTAAACTGAAAAGCTAAATTAAACTAATTAAGCTAAAGTAAAAAGCTTCTGCACAGCAAAGGAAACTATCAACAGAGTAAACTGACAACCTATAGAATGGGAGTAAACTTTTGCAAACTATGCATCCAACAAAGGTCTAATATTCAGCATCTATAAGGAACTTAAACTAATTTACAAGAAAAAAAACCCATAAAAAAGTGGGCAAAATACATGAACAGACACTTTTCAAAAGAAGACATACACGTGACCAACAATCACATGAAAAAACCTCAACATCACTGATCATTAGAGAAATGAAAATCAAAACCACAATGAGATACCACCTAACACCAGTCAGAATGGTTATTATTGGTTGGTGGGAGTGTAAATTCCTTCAACCATTGTGGAAGACAGTGTGGTGATTCCTCAAAGACCTAAATACAGAAATACCATTTGACTCAGCAATCCTATCACTGGGTATATAACCAAAGGAATATAAATCATTCTATTGTAAACATACATGCATGCATATGTTCATTGCAGCATTATTCACAAAAGCAAAGACATGGAATCAATCTAAATGCTCATCAATCATAGACTGGATAAAGAAAATGTGTTACATATACACCATGGAAAGCTATGCAGCCATTAAAAAGAACAAGATCATGTCCTTTGCAGGGACATGGATGGAGCCGGAAGCCATTATTCTTACCAAGCCAACACAGGAACAGAAAACGAAATACTGCATGTTCTCATTTATAAGTGGCAGCTAAGTGATGAGAAAACTTGGACACATAGCAGGAAACAACAAACACTGGGGCCTTTCGGAGGGTGGAAGGTGGGAAAAGGGAGAGAATCAGGAAAAATAACTCATGGGTACTAGGCTTAGTACCTGGGTGATGAAATAATCTGTACAACAAACCCCCATGACACAAGTTTACCTATGTAACAAGCCTGCACTTGTACCACTGAACTTAAAATAAAAGGTTTAAAAAAAAAAAGGGAAGCTTAACTGTAAATTCTATATCTGGTGACAGAATCTTTCAGGAATGAAGGAAAAATAAAGACATTCTTATACAAAGTAAAATGAAGAATTTGTTGCCAACAAATCTATCATTAAAGAATGGGTAAATAAAGTTCTCTCATAAGACAGGTAATAATAAAGACAAAGGTGTCTACACCTTCAGACAGAACATCAGTATAGGGAAAAATAAAATTACTACAATATACTATACTTCCTATGAGTTTCTTACATAACATTTGATGGTTGAGGCAAAAATTATAATACCAAGTAATGAGGTGTTCAATGTGTGTACAGGAAATATTTAAAATAAATGTACCTTAAAGGTGGAGAGGTAAGAGACATAATTGTAGAAAAGTTCTACAGTTCACTTGAAGTGCTGAAATGTCTATGTCAGTAGATGATGATAAGTACCTTATAATACCTAGAGCTAACACTAAAAAAACTATACAAAGTGATATACTCAAAATCAATGGAAATAAATCTAGCCTAAGTCTAGACAAATAATAAATTGGCAGGTTTAAGCCCTGAAAAAACAATAATTACCTCAGATGTGTATGACCAAAATTCACCAATTTTAAGAAAGATACTGAAATAAATGAAAAAAACATGCTACAAAAACATATTATCTACAAAAACTCATTTCAAATACAATGACTTAGGTAAATTAAAAGGATTAAAAAAAAAGTAACAGGATGAAAAAAGATACATGCAAACTTTATACAAAAATCAGGAGTGGCTATATTAATACCAGATAAATAAATTTTGGAGCAAAGAACATGATTAGAGGCACAGAAGGACTCACATAATGATTTTAAAAAGTTAATCCACCAGGAAGACATAATAATCATAAATGAATATTACCAAAAATTATAGCCGCAAAAAACACAGAAGAAAAATGTCCAGAATTGAGGCCGGGAATGGTGGCTTATGCTTATAATCCCAGCACTTTGGGAAGCCGAGGCAGGCGGATCACCTGAGGTCAGGAGTTCGAGACCAGCCTGGCCAACATGGTAAAACCCCATCTCTACTAAAAATATAAAAAATTAGCCAGGCGTGGTAGCACGTGCCTGTAGTCCCAGCTACTCGGGAGGCTGAAGCAGGAGAATTGCTTGAACCCGTGGGGCAGAGGTTGCAGTGAGCTGAGATCAGCCCACTGCACTACAACCTGAGTGACAAAGTAAGACTCCATCTCAAAACAAAAATCACAAGATAAAAATGTCCAGAATTGAAAGTAGAAATAGAAAAAATCCACAATTCTACTTAGGATTTTAACATCCAACTCTCAACAGTTGATAGAAGTAGTACACAGCAAGAATACAGAAAAACTGAACAACACTATAAACAGGAATTCTCCAAACTCTTGGGAAATCATAAAACACACTTCTACATAATCCATGGGACAAACAGGAGGTCTCAAAGAAAGTAAAAATACGTTTGAACCGAATAAAAAATAAAATAGACTCTACCAAAGTATGTGGGCTACAGCTAAAGAGGTAATTAGAAGAAAATTTATAGCACTAAACACTTATTATAAAAAAGAAATATTCCAATAATCTAAGATCCTATCTCAAAACTAGAAAAAAAGAGCAAAATAACCCAAAGCAAGCGGAAGAAATAAAATAATAAATATAAGAGCAGAAACAAATAAAATGAAGAACAAGAAAACAAGAAAAACATAAAAAGCTGGTTCCTTAGAAATCAATGATATTGAAAAATTCTCAATTCACCAATATCAGCAATGAAACTGTGGCTATCACTATAGACCCTGGAACCATTGAAACTCTATACATTCTCTGCTGCTATCCTCAGTTCCCTGGCTTCACTACAAACACTTGTACCTCACATATCATTACCAATGCAGCAGTCAGAATGCCAGCACCCCAGGCATCAGTGCTATTACTGCTCTGGAATACAGAGCCTTATCCCTTCCATGTGTGTCCATGCTTCAAGCCTCAGCTCTGAAGTTACTCCACAAGCACCACTTATTAGACAATGATGTCACTGCTACCATGAGCTAGACCAATGCCATGAGAGAACCCCTCAGTGACAATTTCCTGGTGGGAGAGAAAGAGATCAGGAGCAGCCATTACCACTGAAGACTCAAAACAGCCCTTGTTGCCACCACAGATATGCACAGTATTGACTGCTGAGGGCACTTGCAATTATCATCAACACTGAACTCAGCTGACATAGTTGCACCATCACTGTTGTCAGAATCGTACCACCTCACCCAGCAAGTAACCTCACACCCACAAAGGAAGGACTTTCCAAAGCAAATCCAGCCTATAAAATCTGCAAGGGGTGACTATTTCATTAAATGCTCAAATATCACATAAGGAAACAAGAAACATAAAAAAACAAGGAGACATATCACCATCAAAAGATTACAATAATTTACCAGTAGCTGACCACAAAGAAATGGAGATATATGAACGGCATGACAAAGAAACCGAGTGACTTCAAGAAAATACAAACAATGCAATAAAAATCAGGAAAATAATAATCAAATAAAATTAGAAATTCAACAGAGACACTGAAGTCATAAAAGAAGAAATATTTGAGCTGAAGGGTACAATGAATGAAATGGAAAATGCAATACAGAGTATCAACAGCAGACTTATTTAAACAGAAGAAAGAATCTGTGAACTTATAGTTTAATTAAAAATATACAGAGGGGAAAAATGAAAAGGAATGAAGAAAGCTTATGGAATTTGTGGGACAGCATCAAAAGAGCAAATACTCAAATTATAAGATTCAAGAAAGAGAAGACAGATAAAGGAGCAGAAAACTTATTTTAAAAAATAATAGCAGAAGACTTTCCAAATCTGGGGAAAGATATAAATATTCAGGTACAATAAGATCCAAGGTCTCCATTCAGATTCAATCAAACTACGCTGACATAATCAAATGGTCAAAAATCAAAGGGGGAAGAGAAATCAAAGACACAAGTTTCCTGAAACCAGCAAGAAGAAAGAAGCATATCAAATATCAAATATAAGGGGATTTAAATAAGGTTATTACTAGATTTCTCAGCAGAAACCTTGCAGACCAAGAAAAAGTAGCATTTTTTTTATTCAAAGTGCTGAAAGAAAAAAAAAAACTACCAATCAAGAATACATTGCCTGGCAAAGCTATACTTCAGAAATGAAGGAGAATAACGATTTTCTCAGAAAAAAAAAGCAGAGGAAGTTCATCACCACTAGACCTGCCTTACAAGAAATAGTAAGCTGAAAGAACAGGATGCTAATTATTAACATGAAAACATATGAAAGTATAAAACTCATTGGTAAGAGTAAGTACATAGCCAAATTCAAAATATTCTAATACTGAAATGGTGGTATGCAAATCACATATACTTAGCATGAAGGCTAAAAAATAAAACTATTAAAAATAATTATAGTTACAATAATTTGTTAAGGAATACACAATATAAACAGATGCAAATTGTGACATCAGAAACATAAAAAATGGGGGTGGAATAAGAGTATAGAGTCTTTAATGTGGTCAGAATTAAGTTGCTATCAGTTTAAAATAGCCTGTTATAAGTGTATTTTATATAAGCCTCATAGTAACCACAAGCAAAATCTATATCAAATACAGAAAAGATCTTTTTAAAAAAGGTTTTAGGCCAGGCATGGTGGCTTATGCCTGAAATCCCAGCACTTTGGGAGGCCAAGGCAGGTGGATCACCTGAGGTCAGGAGTCCAAGACCAGTCTGGCCAACATGGTGAAACCCCATCTCTACCAAAAAATACAAAAATTAGCTGGGCACAGTGGCAGGTGCCTGTATTCCCAGCTATTTGGGAGGCTGAGGCAGGAGAATCGCTTGAACCCAGGAGGTGGAGGTTGCAGTGAGCTGAGATTGCGCCATTGCACTCCAGCCTGGGCGACAAGAGTGAAACTGCATCTCAAAAAAAAAAAAAAAGGCTTTAAATTATGCCCTATGGATATCATCAAACTACAAAGGAAGGTAGCAAAATAGCAAGAAAGGAATGAAAGATCTACAAAACAACTAGAAAACAATTAACAATGCAGCAGTAGTCCTAATCTATCAATAATTACATTGAATGTAAATGGATTAAATTATCCAATAAAATCACATAGAGTGGCTAAATGAATTTTTTTTAAAGACCCAACTATATATCTCCTACAAGAGACTCACATCACCTTGAAGGGCACACATAGGTTGAAAGTGAAGAGATGGAAAAATATTCCATGCAAATGGACATCAAAAGAGAGCATGGGTAGGTATACTTAACATCAGATAAAATAGATATTAAGCCACAAATTATATAAAGATACAAAGAAGGTTGTTATATAATGACAAGGGGTCAATTTATCAAGAACACATGCCAATTGAAAATATTTATGCATACAACATCAGAACAATTAGATACAGAAAGTAAATATCCATATATCTGAAGGGAGAAATAGATGGCAATGCAATAATAGTAGGGGACGTCAATATGCCATGTTCAACAATGAACAGATCGTCCAGGCAGAAGATCAGAAAGAGAACAATGGAGTTAAACTACACTTTAGGCCAAATGGACCTAACAGACAGAACAGTAGATCCAAATGCAGCAGAATACATGTTTTTCTGAACTGCTCATGAATCATTATCCAGCATAAGTCATATGTTAGGCCACAAAACAAGTCTCAACAAATAAGAAGACTGAAATCATATCAACTATTTTTTTCTGACCACATTGGTATGAAACTAGAAATTAATGATTATAGAAATATTGTGAAAATTACATATATGTAGAAATTAAACAACATTCTCCTGAACAACTAATGCATTATAGAATAAATTACAAAGAAAATTTAAAACTATCCACAGACACACAAAAATAGAGACCCAACATACCAAAACTTATGGGGTGTAGCAAAAGCAGTTTTAAGAAGAAAGTTTATACCAACAAATTCCTTCATCCAAAAAAAAAAAAAAAATCTAAATAACAAACCTGCTTTACACATCAAGGAACTAAAAAAAGAACAAACTAAGCCCAAAGTTAGTAGAAGGAAGGAAATAACAAAGATCAGAACAGAAATAAATGAAATAAACACTAGAAGAACAGTAGAAAAGATCAACAAATTAAGTATTAAGTTTTTAAAAAGATAAGTAAAATTGACAAACCTTTAGCCAGACTAAGATAAAAGAGAGAAGACTCAAATAAAATCAGAAATGAAATGGACACATTACAACTAGTACCGTGGAAATACAAAGATCTTAAGAGGCTACAATAAACAATTGTACACCAACAAATTGGATAACCTAGAAGAAAAGAATGAACTCCTAGAAACACACAACCATCAAGACAGAATCATAAAGAAACAGAACACTTGAACAGATTGATAACAACTAAGGAGGTTGAATCAGTAATAAAAAGTTTACCATCAAAGAAAGGCCGAAAATCACATGGTTTCATGACTGGATTATCCCAGACCCTTAAAAAAGAACTAATATCAATTCTTCTTAAACTCTTACAGAAAATTGAAGAGGAGGGAATACTTCCAAACTCATTTTACAAAGCCAGCATTACCATGATACCAAAGCCAGATAAGGATACTACAAGAAAAGAAAATTACTGGCCAATATCCCTGACAAATATAAATGCAAAAATACTCAAGCAAATACCAGTGTACTGAATTCAGCAGCACATTAAAAAGATTATTCATTATGGTCAAGTGGGACTTGTCCCTGGTATGCAAGGATGGTTCAACATATGTAAGTCAATAACTGCAATGCACCACATTAACAGAATGAAGGACAAAAACCACATGATCATTCAATAGATGCAAAAAAGTCATTTAACAAAATTCAGCATCTTTTCATGATAAAAATTCTCAACAAATAAATATAGAATGTACCTCAACACAATAAAGGCTTTATATGACAAGAACACAGATATCATACTCAAAGGTGAAAAGTTGAAAGCTTTTCCTCCAAGATCAAGAATAATACAAGAATGCTCATTCTTACCACTTATTTTCAACATAGTTCTGAAAGTCTTAGCCAGAGCAATTAGACAAAAGAAAGAAAGAAAGGTCATCCAAATCAGAAAGGAAGAAGTTAATGGTCTCTGCTTCAGAACACATGATCTTGTATAAAGAAAACACTAAAGACTCCACCAAATAAACCTGTTAGAACTAATAAACAAATTCAGTAAAGTTGCAGGTTACAAAATCAATATGCTAAAATCAGCAGAATTTCAGTACAATAAAACAATCTGAAAAAGAAATCAAGAGAAACTATTTACAATTGGTACAAAAAATTCTTAGAAATAATTTAACCAAGGATATAAAAGATCTGTTCACAGAAACTTAGAAAACATTGAAGAAATTGGAGACACAAATAAATGTAAAAATATTTCACATTCATGAATTGGAAGAATTAATATTGTTAAAATGTCAAAAGTGGGGGATAAGACAGCCAACCAGACACAGCTGGGAGAAGTGCCTCTCCTACTGAGAGAAACCAAAATATTGAGTAAACTATCCCACTTTGAACAGAATTTTTAAGAGAAAAAACTGAAAGTTAATAGAGAGGTGACTCAGATCCAGAGGTGGAAGAGGAAGGAAGCTTGGAACCCTATAGAGTTGCTGAGTGCCAGGACCAGATCCTGGCCCTAAACAGGTGGTAAGGAAGGAGAGAGTGAAGGAACTGCCAGGTGACACACTCCCACCATGGACCTCTGGGATCCTAGCTTTAAGAGATCCCATCACCCACATGAACGTTTGAATTGACAGGGGGAGCTGCCTGGAGAGTAGGCAGATGCAGAGCTCAAGCCTGTGCAGAGCCCAGGTTTTGTGAGTGGGACAGTTGCAGCAAAACACAACCATAGGTGCCCATCCACCAAGGCAGGCTCTCCATCTTGCTCAGAGTGGCTCTAGCCCTTGCTGACTGCTGGGCAGGGAGAGAGCAGAGCTAACTTCCTCATGGGACCTGGGTGTGTCTGATCTGTGCACACCACTATCCAACCGATCCCGAGGCTCCACCCTGGCCACTCTTGTGTGCACACAGCACAGCCTCTACTGCTACACCTGAGTACTTTGCCAGTGGCCTGGAAGCACTTTGTCCCCCCTGGCACAAATGGTGCTGGACCACGAGGGGCCAGAGAACAAAGCCTTGGGCGTGGTCCCAACTCCCAAATGTTTGAACACACAAGTTGGAATATTGGGCTGAGATCTGTGGCCAGGGCCTGAGTAGGGGAGAAGCTCCCACTCTCAGAACACTGAGAAAAGTGAGGCATGGGTTTCTGGGCTGGTACAGGAGCTCGATGTGCTTCTCTCTACAAGACTGGTGAGGGAAAGGTGTAACCTGTTTGTCAGCCACAACATCTTCCTAAGGGAGCCTTGTGTCCGGGAAAAACTGACAGACCAGTGATCTGGGTGCAGAAGGCTTGAGACAAAACTAGCTGGTTGGGCCAGCTATGGGGCAAATGCTGGAAAGAAACCTGGTCAGGGAGCCTGAGCTGAGTGGTCCCCACAGTCATCTGCTTGGCAAGAAACCCTAGGTCGCAGGTGCTAGACCAGCTGCACACCCACAGCAACACTGCCATGCCCAGGATCCTCTGCCCTTGATCCTGAATCAACAGACCACTTGCAGATATACTTCACAGCCCACGCTGACTCTGCCAAGCACAGACAACCACTGGGCCCCAGGGGAGCTGCAGGTCTCCTGGTCACCTAATCTTTTTTTTTTTTATACTTTAAGTTTTGGGGTACATGTGCACAACGTGCAGGTTACATATGTATACATGTGCCATGTTCATGTGCTGCACCCATTAACTCGTCATTTAACATTAGGTATATCTCCTAATGCTATCCCTCCCCCCTCCCCCCACCCCACAACAGGCCCTGGTGCCATGGAATACTATGCAGCCATAAAAAATGATGAGTTCATGCCCTTTGCAGGGACATGGATGAAGCTGGAAACCATCATTCTCAGCAAACTATCAAACTATCACAAGGACAAAAAACCAAACACTGCATGTTTTCACTCATAGGTGGGAATTGAATAATGAGAACACATGGACACAGGAAGGGGAACATCACACATCGGGACCTAATCTTAAGCTAAGTGTGGCTAAGAGCCTATCTGCTGGCCTTTACTATTAAGCACTGCCCACTGGATTGCAGCCTGAATTACACCGCCAAACAAATACTGTTTCAGCATACATTACCAGTGAAACCCAATGCAGGAACATAGTCAAAAATAAACACCTGGCATAGAGACTTGGCCCTCTGAAAACACCCAGAAAAAAGCCAGCTATATTCAACATACATCACTGTCAAAATATCAAGGAAAATGAAGAAGAATAAAACAAAAAGTCAAAACCAAATGATAGTAACTTCAAAAAGATAAAGTAACACCAGCTGTCTTAGATGAGAAAGAATCAGCACACATTCTTGCAATTCAAAAAGTCAGAATGTCTCCTTACCTCCAAACAATCATACTAGCTCTCATCAGATTGAAATGGCTGAAATGACAGACATAGAATTCATGATCTGGAAGGTAAGGAAGCTCAAGAACATTCAGGAGAAAGTTGAAACCCAGTCCAAGGAAGCCAGTAAAGCAATCCAAGAGTACAGAGATAACATAGCCATTTTAAGAAAGAACCAAAAGAAACTTCTGCAATTGACAAATTCATTATAGGAATTTTGTAATACATTCAGAAGCATTAACAACAGAATAGATCAAGTTGAGGAAAGAATCTCAGAGCTCAAAGATCAGTCCTTTGAATCAACACAGTCAGACAAAACTAAAGAAAAAAATTTAAAAATAAAACCTCTAAAAAAATATGGAATTATGTAAAGATACCAAACTTACAACTTATGGGCATTCCTGAAAGAGGAGAAAGAATAAGTAACTTGGAAAACATATTTGAGGATAGTCCATGAAAATTTCCCCAATCTCCCTAGAGAGGCTGACATGCAAATTCAAGAAATGCAAATAACCCCTGTGAGATAACTACAAGATAACTATCCCCAAGACACATAGTCATAAGATTCTCCAAGGTCAACGTGAAAGAAAAAAATCTTAAGGGCAGCTAGAGAAAAGCCTGAGGTCACTTATGAAGGGAAGCTCATCAGACTAACAGCAGACTTCTCAGCAGAAACCTTACAAACCAAGCAAGATTAGGGGCCTATTTTTAGCATCCTTAAAGAAAAGAAATTTCAGTGAAGAATTCCATATCCTGCAAAACTAAGCTTCATAAAAGAAGGAGAAATAGGCTGGGCATGGTGGCTCACACCTGTAATACCAGCATTTTGGGAGGCTCAGGCAGGAGGATTGCTTGAGCTCAAGAGTTTGAGACCAGCCTGGGCAACATGGCAAAACCCTGTCTCTTCTAAAAATACAAAAATTACCTGGGCAAGACTCCATCACAAACAAACTAACAAACCAAAACTATCAGGTACTATGCTCACTACCTGGGTGACAAAATCATTTTTACACCAAACCCAGTGACAAGCAATTTACCCATGTAACAAACCTGCATGTGTATCCCCTGAACCTAAAATAAAAGTTAAAAAAAAAAGAACTTTCATCAACATTTCTTGCAGTGAAGGTATGTTAGTGATGAACATTCTCTGCTTTTATTGCCTGAAAATATCTTTATTTTGTATTCATATTTGACATATATTCTCACTGGGCATAAAAATTCTAAATTACAAGTTTTTCCCCTTTTTTGTATTAAAAATTTCATTCCAATATCTTTCATATTGCCTTATTTGTAATGATGCCTTCTATCCTTCTTATCTTTGTTCCATTTATAAGAAGTGTTCCCCAACCCCAGACTGATTAAAACCATTTTTTTAATTAAAAAAGCAAAAGAAAGAAACATTTTTATCTGAAGCTGTCTCAGACTCAGACACCACCCAATCTTCAGATTTCAAATAGCTTATACTCAAACATTTGGTAATATCAGCCCCTTAATGGTCTTCCTGGAGGGCAGATGCATTCTAGAGATGAGAACACGATCATGATTACGAATGCTACCACCACTACGAACGCACAAAAGTCACTGGTGTGATCCTTTCTCAGAACACTGTGGTAACTTCTGGACATTCTCTGCTGTTATCATTGCTTCTTCCTTCTGGGTTTTTTTCCCCCTTATATGGGCAGATAATTTTCTCCATTGGAATGAAAAAGTCTTGCTTCATGCTCTTTAACTGTGTGACCTTGGGCGTATTACTTTACTTTGGGGCAAACCATTTTCCTTCTTGAGGACCAAATGTGCTCTTTTATAAAACGAGCAGTTAGAATTAGATTGTCTCTCTGGACACGGCTTATGTTGACAACCTGGATCACATTAGAGGATCACACTGAGACCTTTATGTCGGCCTCAGTTCCTCCATCTGTAAAGTAGAGGTTGGGCTTAGATTATAGATGATAAAGACACCAACTTTCCTGGAAAGGATTCTGGAAAGGATTCTGAACTTAGGCTCAGCCTCAGTAAGAAGGAGTTCTGTGATTAAACAGGGATGCCCACACATCAGCAACAGAAATGGGCAGGTCAACCATGTATGCTGTGCCTCAGTGAAGATTTTATGCTATGCTGTGCATTTGATATCCATTCTCTATATTTGATATCCAATCTAAGATTATCTAGAAGGTCCTTTCCAAGACACTGATGAGATACATCTGTATAAATATATAACTCAGGATGAAAGCAACTTTTAACATTTAGCGTGTGCCTCTGCCTCTGATCTGATTACAGCCCACAGAGAAATATAAACAATACACAATACAGGCTAATGAAGAAGGGTGATAAGATTTTTTTTTTTTTTTGAGACGGAATTTCACTCTTGTCACCCAGGCTGGAGTGCAATGGTGCAATCTTGGCTCACTGCAACCTTCGCCTCCCGGTTCAAGCGATTCTCCTGCCTCAGCCTCCTGAGTAGATGGGATTGGAGGTGCCCACCACCACGCCCGGCTAATTTTTGTATTTTTTAGTAGAGACAGGGTTTCACCATGTTGTCCACGCTGGTCTCGAACTCCTGACCTCAGGTGATCCGCCAGCCTCAGCCTCCCAAAGTGCTAGGATTACAGGTGTGAGCCACTGCAACCGGCCAAGGGTGATAAGATTTTAAAAATTTATTTAAAATACAGAAATTTCAAAAAGAGAGAAGTGCAGTGATAGCAAAATTGATGCAAACTGTGCAAGCATGAAATCTATTTTATAGCTGAATCTACTTTTCTTGGTCCCAAGATTCTATTTCCATTGGTTTTCAAATAGTTAATTCTATTGTTTTTTCAGGGAGATTACTAAAATCACTAATAATTATTTTCCTACTGACACAAAATCTAAAAAGCACCATATAGACCTTCTCTCTCCATCTCCCCTTATCCTTATGTCACCTTACCCTACCCCAATACTCCAATGGCAGAGTATCTACCCATGGCAGAGTAGAGAATATGTACACTAACAAAACCAGATGCACAGAGGTGGGGTATCCATCTCTGACTTGGCTGAGCTAGTCTAAGGAAGGAAGGCTCTGTGGCCATTGTCCTTGGAAGTCATTCTCACAGGTTGGTGGTATTCTCAAGTAGGTGGTGCTTGAGTGGCCCAAGAGCACCCACATGCTGCTATGCATTTTTCTGACAACCTCTTTATGATCTCTGACTTTGGCAGATCATCTTGCATCTCTCAATTGGAGAGTCACTTTTCTTATCTCCACAGAAAATTCTTAATCAAGCTCCTGGTTTTCCTTTATAGCTTCTACTTTTTAAACTCACTTCTCCAACTTCACCGCTACATCTCTGACAGATGAGAACATTAGAGATTCCCTGTTTTTCAAAAACAAAACAAAACTCAGCAAAACTATAAATATACTAAGGGTAAGTCTGTATTATCTCCTGCCAAAATACACCACCCTGCATTTTTTTAAATTTTTATCTTTTGTAGGTACATAGTAGGTGTCTATATTTGTGGGGTACATGAGATGTTTTGATACAAGCATGCAATGCATAATAACCACATCATGGAAAATGGGGTATCCATCCCCTCAAGCATTTATCCTTTGTGTTACAAATTATCTAATTATACTTTATTATTTTAAAATGTACAATTAAATTATTTTTGACTATAGTCACCTCGTTATGCTATTAAATACCAGGTCTTATTCATTCTTTCTAACTATTTTTTGTACCCAGTAACCATCCTCACCTTCCCACACACGCCCACCACCTTTCCCAGCCTCTGATAACCATCCTTCTACTCTCTATCTCCCTTGAATTCAGTAGTTTTGATTTTTAGATTTCACAAATAAGTGAGAACATGCAATATTTGTCTTTATGTTCCTGGCTTATTTCACTTAGCATAATGGCCTCCAGTTCCATCCATGTTATTGCAAATGACAGCATCTCTTTCTTTTTTATGGCTGAATAATACTCCACTGTGTATAAGTTCCACATTTTCTTTATCCACTCATTTGTTGATTGACACTTACGTTGCTTCTAAATCTTGGCTATTGTGAATAGTGCTGCAACAAGCACAGGTGTGCAGATATCTATTCAATATTCTTATTTCCTTTTGGAGGGGAGTGTGTACCTAGCAGTGGGATTGCTGGATTGTATGGTAACTCTATTTTCAGTTTTTTTAGGAACCTCCAAACTGTTCTCCATAGTGGTTGTACTATCTTACGTTCACACCAGTAGCATACAAGGGTTTCCCTTTCTCCAAATCCTTGCCAGCATTTGCTATTGCCTGTCTTTTGGATAAAAGCCATTTTAACTGGAGTGAGATGATATTCCATTGTAGCTTGATTTTCATTTCTCTGATGATCAGTGATTTTGAGCACCTTTTCATCTGCCTGTTTGCCATTTGTATGTCTTCTTTTGAGAATATCTATTCAGATACTTTGCCCATTTTTAAGTTGGATCATTAGATTTTTTTCCTATAGAATTGTTTGAGCTCTTTGTATTTCCTGTTATTAATCCCTTGTCAGAAGGGTCGTTTGCAAATATTTTCTCCCATTCTGTGGGTTGTCTTTTCACTTTGTTGATTGTGTGCTTTGCTGTGCAGAAGCTTTTTAACTTGATGTGATCCCATTTGTCCATTTTTGCTTCGATTGCCTTTGTTTGTGGGTTGCTACTCAAGAAATTTTTGTCCAAACATCCTGGAGAGATTCCCCAGTTTCTTATAGTAGTTTCATAGTTTGAGATCTTAGCTTTAAGTCTTTAATCCATTTGACTTAATGTTTTGTATATGGTGAAAGACAGGGGTCTAGTTTCATTATTCTGCATATGGATATCCAGTTTTCCCAGCACCATTTTTTAAAGAGACTGTTTTTCCCCCAAAGTATGTTCTTGGCAACTTTGTCAAAAATGAGTTTACTGTAGATGTGTGGACTTGTTTCTGTGTTCTCTATTCTTTTCCATTGCTCTATGTGTCTGTTTTTATACTAGTACCATGCTGTTTTGGTTACTATAGCTTTGTAGTATAATTTGAAGTGAGGTAATGTGATTCCTCTAGTTTTGTTCTTTTTGCTTAGGATGGCTTTGGCCATCCTGCATTTTTAACCCTTTTCCCATTTTCACCCAGAATACTCGCTGGTGGCACTTGCAGCTGCAGGGTTTACCCTGAGATAACTTTGCCACAAAATATCTCGCCTTTATTATTATTTTCACATCGTTCTAATATATCGACTTTGAAAACACAAATCATCATTCTATTTATAGCATCTTGTTGTTAGCAGTGGTATTTCCATTTACAAAATATAGAAATTCTTGATCGCTGAAAATGTCAAATTCTAGAAAGCATAGCATTCCCATGTTAACATTGTTCTCAAACAGTTTTGGGCCAAAGAGTCATTTAATGAATCCGGTTTTTTCCAAAATAGATGATTCTGATTATTCAGATGATTCTGATGTTAGTTCTGTTTAAAAATAATTCCAAGAACAGTTTGTATATTTTATTTTCACACTGAACATCAGTCAGCCTCCAGAGCATGTTAATGTAAAATTAAATGAACATGGGCAGTGAGCTGCAGTTTTTTTTCTAAACAGTGCAGCTGTTTAGAAAATTTTTTTAAAATTTTCCTGATTTCCTTGGTATTAAACATATGTGGGAGAAATACAGCTCAGCAAACTCTTCCAGGAGATAAAATGCTGATCACTCCTACTGGGCAATTTCACAAATGTCTCCTATATTTTTCTCCTTTGGTAGTGGGGATGGGGGGCATAATGTTACATTGGGCCTCTCTCCTCTCTCTCTTTCTCTCTCCCTCTCCTTTTAAAATGTTTCCTCTCTCTCAATATTTCATTTCTTATTTGTATTTCTGAATGAGGGAAAAGAGTTGATGGGACAGCGGAACGGGAAAAAGAAGAGCACCAATAAAACCTGTTTTCCTGTTTTCACTATTTTCATTCCAAATTCCTTCTGTCTCATAATTGATGGAATCTTATGAACTTATTAGTTAAAAAGTGTCTTTCTTGTTTCACAGGAATTCATATCGGGGTGATCACTCAGAAGAAAAGGTGAATACCGGATGTTGTAAGCTATTGAACTGCCACAAGTGATATCTTTACACACCATTCTGCTGTCATTGGGTATGTACAAAGTGCTGCATACAGACAGAGGAGAAGGACAATTGAGCCCATCTAAAGTTAACAAAAACTTCCTCTTGGGGCTGTTTCTTTCCATCAGACCTTACAGTTCTACGGGATAATAGCTTATCTCATAAGGCCTCAGCTTTCTTTAATAATTTCTAGAAGCAGACGTTATTGTGTCATGCACACTCAGTGTTGCAAATTAATGGTCTGGTGATCTGGGTGGCATGGCATTTTCCCCTTCTCTGGTTCATCACCCATGATAGACCAGTAAAGGTGACCACTTAAATTCCTTGCTGTGCAGTGTTCTGTATTCCTCAGGACACAGAGCTTCCTCTCTCCCAGGAGCCATGAATATCCTGATGCTGACCTTCATTATCTGTGGGTTGCTAACTCGGGTGACCAAAGGTAATGGAACCCTATAAAGCAGAGATGATGACTAGGATGAGTTGTTGCCCTTGGGCTCCCCTGGTATCATGATGGGAAGAGAGGGAATCTGCAGGAAAAATCTGGGCCAACAAAGAGCAGCAGAATGCTCTTATTTTGGCAGCTCCATGCCCCTAGTCTCTGAGAATCTTTCTGTTAGGGGCATCTAGCAAGCTGGGATGTCCTCTGAGGCATTTCTCCAAAGACAAGAATTTCCTTAATGCTCTGAGCCACCCTATCTGTCTCTCTACATAACTATCCAATGTTAGTTCAGCCTCACTTCACTTCCATTTCGATTATTCTGTTGTATCTATTTCATTGTTGTGTCCTATTAGTTCTCCTACCATCTTGAATTCTTCTTTGCCCGGAGGGTACCTTCAGAGGGAGGCCCTCACTTTCATGTTCTTAGATATGGTGAACAAGTCCATTGACAGTTTGTAGATTCTGTAGCACTATCATATGGAAGAGACAATATATATGTTTGGGGTAGAAGTGGAAATAAGTGGAGTGAAGACAGGATAGACAGACTAGTGACCAATGGGGAGCTTCTAATTTTAGATGAATAGGAACAGTCTGTTTCCACTATTTAATAATGCTACTTTTGAAAATTGTTAACTTTTTATTAAAAAATAATACTTGCAATTGACTTATGTATCAAGCAATCGATGGATTTATAGGGTTTAAGGAAAAGAAAAATGTTTGTCTGTCCAAGAATACCAGTTCTTCAGTCTTCCCCTTCAGAATCAATCAATGTTACCAATTTCTTATATATCCTAGCAAATACAAATATATTTATATTTGCATGTGTATACCTTTTAGATTTTTAAAAAATGCAATTGCAAATGCACCATGTGAATTGTTCTGCAATGTACTAGCAATATATTAGAGACATCTTATCCATACATAAACCTAGTTCATTATTTTTAATCGATAAGTAAAACTTTGAGGAGGAGCAGATGAATTGCCTCACATTAATTACTCCGCTACTGATGAAAAATAGGTCTTTAATTATCAAAAACAATTCAGCAAGAAAAATTTGTAAACAAATGTATGTCTTTTCATTTATGACTGGACACGTGGACACACACACACACACACACACACACACAGTCAAACCACCTACCAGAAAAGCTGAACTATTCTTCTCTCCTATCACCAGTTGCAAGAGTGTCAGCTTCCCACACCCTCATCAGTCCTTTTTGTTTTTTCTACTACATTCAGTTTTCTACTACATTCAGTTTTACAGTCTAATATGTGAAAATGATGTCCTGATGTTTGAATTCATGACACTTTAGTTATAAATGAGTTTGAACATCCAGTCCATTAGATTTCTAAACTTTCTTAATTATCTTTATATACTAAGAAATTTGGCTTTTGTTAAATTTGGAGGTGTTATATGTTGCCTAGAAAGATGCTATTCATGTCTATTAAATGGTTATAACTGTGCCTATGATCTGTTATGTCTTGATTCACATGTTGATGTAATGTGAGTTACAGAATTAATATCTACATTCATTTCTGATTATAAACTGCTGTATTTGTTGAAAATTTGGAAATTTTGAAATTGTAAAGAAGTAAAAAAATTGTAAAGAAGTTAAAAGAGACAAAATATTTTTGATCTATTGTTCTTCCTCAGTTTTCTTATTTGAATAAAAATGTATAGCATACTTATAAATTTTCTATTATACTATTAGTATTTTCCCATTTACTATTTTCAAAAACTGTATTTCCAATGACTGTATAAATTTTATAGAATGGATACTGTTTAAATTACTTAGCCAAATTGTTTTTGCATAAATAAGTGCATTTACATTTTATAGACAAGGATGGCTAGTATAACCTTTCTTATACATAAATCATTCAGCATAAAATTCCTGGAGATGTACTTTTTTCTGTCTGCTTCATGTGTTATCAATTTTTGAATACTTGCCAAGTCCTAAAAATGAAATATTATATATAAATATTTAATTTTTATTTATGTCTGTGAGTAATGGGGAAGTCGAACTTCAAATACATGCTTAATGTATATTTAACTTTTCTACAAATTGTCTATGTCTCTCTTTCTCTTTTATTTTGGAGAGGTAGTTTTCATTTCTTTTGATTTAGAGATTTTCATTTTTGTGTTCTCTTATAGGTTTTGTTTTGAAATTTAGCTATTTAGTCTCTCTGGGCTTTATATTATGTGTTTTCAAGTGAGATAGCACCTGATGGCTTGTGAAGCAACTTTTTACCAAGCCAAGCTATCAGTGGACTGGTATCCATAGATATATTTTAAGTTGATGCTAGCTGATTATATATCTGGTATGTTTTAGAAAGAACTCCACACATGGGATAATGTTTTGGCTAGATGGCTCCCCTACTTAGAAACATACAATTGCTAGTCATATTTCTAATTTTAGGATTTCGAGATACTGGTGATGAAGATCACATGTCCTAACAACATAATAGTTCCAGACTGAAGTTCTTTGAAAAAAATGACTGTTGTCACTTTAGAAAAAAAAAATTATGAATTATTCCCAATTGCCATCATTCTACTGCTAAAACCAAATTCTTGGAATTATCTATGATTTTTCTATATCCTATGACACTCATATCTATCAGGAAGTCTATTACATCTGCCTGCAAATTATATCCAGAATGCAATTATTCTCGCCACCTCCATTGCTGCCACTCTGATTCTAGTCACCATCATCTCTCACCTGTGTTATTGCCATAGCTTCCTCATGAGATCTGTCCTTCTGCTCTTCCCTGCCACCATCTTGTGAAGACACATAGTGCATGATCCGCTTACACTGGAAGTCAGATCATGTACTTTTGCTCAAAACTCTGCTATGGCCCCCTCTATACTCAGAGCGGTAACAAGAGTCCATACAGTGGCTCACCTGGCCCTGCAGGATCTGGCCCTTATGACCTCTCTCACCTCATCTCCTACTATTATAGTCCTTGTTCACTCCACTACAGCCACACAAGCCCCAGTGCTCTTCCCCAAACATATCAGACTTACTCAACCCATAGAGCTTTGTTTGTTTCCTCTGCCTAGAATGTACTTGCCTCAGATACTGGTGTGACTAATTCCTTTACCTCCTTCAAGCTGTTTAATCATCACCTTGTTACACAGGCTTGTGCAACTCCTGTTTATGAATCTTCTATTACCCTTAAATCTATTCTCCCTTCTTTCTGCAAACCATTTGTCACCTTTTCATCTACAAAATAATGTACTTTTTTATTAAGGTAAAATATACATTTAAAAATTACCATCCTTACCATGTTTTTACCATATTTTTATGTATACCTGATGGCTGTTTGTATGTCTTCTGTTGAGAAATGTCTATTCAAATCTTTTGCCTGTTTTAAAATCAGATTATTTGTTTTTGTTTGCTATGGAGTTTTTTGAGCTCCTTATATTAATATACTTTTTGTTGTTAATTCCTCGTCAGATGGATAGCTTGCAAATATTTTCTCCTACTCTGTGGGCTACATCTTCACTTTGTTGATTATTTCCTTTGCTGTGCACAAGCTTTTTAGTTTGATGTAATCCTAATTGCCTATTTTTGCTTTGGTTGCCCGTGCTTTTGAGGTCTTACCCAAGAAATCTTTGCCAAGACCAACGTCCTGAAGTGTTTCCCTAATGTTTTTTTCAGGTAGTTCCATAGTTTCAGGTCTTAGATTTAAGTCTGTAAAACCATACAGTCTAGCAGGGAGTGCATTTACTTTTTATTATCTGTCTCCCTCTGCTAGAAAGTCAGCTCCATGTGATTTTTGTCTGTTTAGTTCACAGATGTACCTCAAGGGCCCAGGATAGTGCCTGTGCCATAGTAGGGGCCCAAAACTTTGATGACTGTGTGACTATAGCCTAATTTAAGAATGGAGGGGATAATTTAAAAGCAGTAGGAAGGAATGTAAGTGAGAAACAATTTTGAAGAATAATTGACAGAACAAGGCGATTCAAAGACAAAGGAGAAGAAGAGAGCCAAGATGACATATTTCAAGTATGGATAATGCTGGAGGAAAAAAATTAAGATATAAATCTTTGTAGATGTGAGGAACGAAGAAGCAAGGTTAGAGTCTGTCTTGCACAAAAGAAGTGGAAGGTCTAGACTTGAAACTTATAGAAAATTCCACGAAGTACAAAGTAAAATCGAGCCAGTAAAATAACAAAGATAGAATAAATGACTCTAGAGGAGTGAAGGTAGAATAAATAATTGGTGAAGCTGGACTAGAGCCAACATTTCCCAGAGGATAAAATATAAACCAAATTATTGTGAGCCTAATATATACATACATACATACATCTATATATGTTTTATATATATTATCACATTAAGTTCAAATAAGGTTGTTTAGAAAATTACTTGCTCTTCTGCACATATACCAGGCTTCCTCCTCCATAGAGCCTTATCTCTAGCTGCTTCCTCTGCCTAGAATACACTTATCTAGGTACTCCTTGGGCAATTGTCTTGAGAAAGATGATCATGCCGTTTACTGCTTGATAAATGAACATACAATGCAGCACACTAGTTTCCCTTTAGATTTATATCCTCACCCCTCAAATGAGTAGTCACACTGCTTGGAAATCCTACTGCATTTCTCTTGTAAATGAACCTTCCTTCTTTTTTTTTTTTTTTTGAGACAGAGTCTTTCTCTGTCACCAGGCTGGACTGCAGTGGCCCAATCTCGGCTCATTGCAACCGCCAACTCCCTGGTTCAAGTGATTCTCCTGCCTCAGCCTCCCGAGTAGCTGGGATCACAGGCATGTGCCACCACATCCAGCTAATTTTTATATTTTTAGTAGAGACAGGTTTTCACCAGGTTGGCCAGGATGGTCTCGATCTCCTGACCCTGTGATCCACCCTCCTCGGCTTCCCAAAGTGCTGGGATTACAGGTTTGTACCACCACACCCAGCCATCTTCCCTCTTTTTTAGACAACTATTTTGTCCTGACCTTTATTTGTCTTTTATTTTCCTGCTCCTCTCCTCTACATGGCTCTCCCCCTCAGTTTATCCCATGCCCCATTTATTTAAACAATTCAAATAGGAAGTTTTCACTCATTTCCTCTGTCCCCTTTGCCATAAATGGAGAAACGTGTCTTCTCCATCTAAAGATCAGTCTGCTCTGTGTGAATTTGTGACTATGCCCTTCTGTCATCTCATCACCCTATTCTATATTAATCTCTCCTTTTCTGCTTTTTTTTTTTTTTTTTTGAGATGGAGTCTTGCTCTTGTTGCCCAGGCTGGAATGCAGTGGCACAATCTTGGCTTACTGCAACCTTCGCCTCCCAGGTTCAAGTGATTCTCCTGCCTCAGCATCCTGAGTAGCTGGGACTACAGGTGCTCGCCACCATGCCCAGCTAATTTTTGTATTTTTTAGTAGAGACAGGGTTTCACCATGGCCAGGCTGGTCTCGAACTCCTGAACTCAGGTGATCTGCCCGCCTCGATCTCCCAAAGTGCTGGGATTACATGTGTGAGCCACTGCGCCCAGACTGCTTGTCTCTTTTCTCATTGCTTGCAAGCACCATTTGGTATTTCTCGTTCTTCAAAACAAACCTGAAAGCTTTCCCTTAACCTTACATTGCTCTCTAACAAGTTATTTATTTCTCTGCTTTTCTTTGGATCTAAACTTCTTAAGAGTTTCATCTACAGGTCCTGCATTCACTTCTCTCTCATTCACATTTTGACCAACTGCAATTTGGTTTCTTTTTTCATACCACTCGGAAGCTGCTCTCCTCAGTATGAAGTTACCTTCATACTACTAAAAGCATGGACATTTTCCTGCCTTCATCATTTTTTTTTAACCTCTCAGCAGTATTTGACTACAAAATGACCACTCTGTCCTTTAAGAAACAGTCTCCTCTCCTGCTTAATGTAG
The DNA here is from genome assembly GCF_000001405.40 of Homo sapiens. Taxonomy (NCBI): domain Eukaryota; kingdom Metazoa; phylum Chordata; class Mammalia; order Primates; family Hominidae; genus Homo; species Homo sapiens. The sequence goes on from NC_000020.11 coordinate 93,654, forward strand.
TCACATCTGATACAACTTTCCCCATAACCTTTTATGCATTTTCTGTTTTCATGCATATCAGCCCAACTTGCAATTGTCAGTATCTCCAGTCTTTCAACAACTGCTTGTGAAATACCCCTGTACAGGGCAATCCAGAAATGCCAGAAAATTATCAGCTGTCTCTGGATCATCTGTCAACTATGGGGGAAGCTGGATAAATAGTCCAGGTCCTTTGAGCCTCATGTAGAATAACTTTGAGGCTTGGTAATATTTTTTTTTTCCTGTGGTAATTCCCTTATTTGCAGTTCAAGGCTATTATGGGAAGAAAACATAAATGGATGTTAGTTCTTCAAGGTTTTTACTGTAACTGTGCACCCTTTCATTCTTCAAGGTTTTTCTGTAACACTGCACCTTCAGGACCTGATGCCCAATTAAACATTTTTTTAAGTTTTTTGGTTTTTTTTTAATAAAAACTAAATGCTATTTTTTCTTCTACTTTTAGTTGATGTGTAATAATTGTTCATATTTAGAAGATGCAGAGTGATATTTTGATACATGTATACAATGTGTAATGATCAAATCAGGGTAATTAGCATATCTATCACCTCAAACATTTGTCATTTTTTTATATTGGGAACATTCAGAATCGTCTCTTCTAGCTATTTGAAAATATACAGTAAATGATTGTTAACTACCGTCACCCTACAGTGCTATAGAACAGTGGACCCCTTTTGGCACCAGGGACCAGTTTTGTGGAAGACAGTTTTTTCGACGAGGTGAAGGTGGTGGTGGGGATGGTTTCAGGATGAAACTGTTCCACCTCAGGTCATCAGGCATTAGAGTCTCACAAGGAACACACATCCTAGATCCCTCACATGCACAGTTCACAATAGGGTTCATGCTCCTATGAGACTCTAATGCCTTGGCTGATCTGACAAGAGATGGAGCTCAGGTGGTGATGCTTGCACACCTGCTGTTCACCTTTTGCTGTGCAGCCTGGTTCCTAACAGGCCATGGACCAGTACCCATTGGCTGCCCAGGGGTTGGGGACCCCTGCTATAGGATGCTGGAACTTTTTCCTCCTATCTAGGTGTAATTTTCTATCTGTTAACCAACCTCTCTCTATCCTCCTTTCCCTTCCCAGCCTCTAGTAATCATTATTCTACAGTCTACTTCTATGAACTCAACTTTTTTAGCTCCTGCTTATGAATGAAAACATGTGGTATTTATCTTTTTGTGTCTATTTCACATAACGGAATGTAACATGTCCCCCAGGCTCATCCATGAGTCTGAGGCTTATTTGTAGCCTGGCTGCTGGGCTTCCCTGTGGGATTGTCCTCTGAGCAAACAGAACACAGCCATCCTGCTGGCCAGCAGTTGATAGATGATCTCATGATAATAACAGGTTATAACTCACCTTTTCTTGGATTTCTTGCTTTCCTGATTTCTACATTTCTCCACTGATTTTTTTTAAGGAGGAATTGTCTCTCAACTAAACTATTATATTCAAATCTTTGCTGGAGCTCTGCTCTGCTGGGGGTCTGCTTTAAGACTCTAGAGTCTTATTCTCCTGTTTTGATCTGACTTATCTTATTGGTCCTTTTAAGTCGTTTCCTCTTATCTGATCTCTTATCTCTTAATATTGAAACTCACTAGAATTTAATTCTAGTCCTCTTTTTTTCTCATATTATTCCAACCCACCATGGTTTACCAATTTCTGTACTTTAAATGCTATCCATAAGCAATCACATTTATTGATTTGCATATGTCGAACCAACCTTGCATTCCAAGGATAAAGGCTACTTGATCGTAGTGGATAAGCTTTTTGATGTGCTGCTGGATTCAGTTTGCTACTATTTTGTTCAGGATTTTTGCACTGATGTTCATCAAGGATACTGGCCTGAAATTTTTTTTTTCTTGTGTCTCTGCTAGGTTTTGGTCTCAGGATGATGCTGGCCTCATAGAATAAGTTAAAGCGGAGTCCTGCCTTCTCAATTTTGGGTGAATAGTTTCAGTAGGAATGATACCAGCTCTTCTTTGTATATCTGGTAGAATTCAGCTGTGAATCCATCTGGTCCTGGGCTTTTCATTTTCATCCTTTCTTTCTAGGTTTCGTATCAGTCTCAGTATGCTCTCTCTCTCTCCGTCCCTCTCTTTTTCTACATTTCTCCTTTTCTCCATACAACTTCTTTGATGGCACATAGCACAATTTTAATATACACTTTTTGTTCTCCTGTTTGTCTCTTACAATGGCTTTTTGTATTTGACATCATATTAGTCTAGATGTCAGTCAGTGTAAATTTTTGAATGAATGAAAAGTTGTTATGTTGATGCCAGAGTTAAAAATTTGACCTATATTTTATTCTCTACAGGTAGCTTTGAACCCCAAAAATGTTGGAAGAATAATGTAGGACATTGCAGAAGACGATGTTTAGATACTGAAAGGTACATACTTCTTTGTAGGAACAAGCTATCATGCTGCATTTCTATAATATCACATGAATATACTCGACGACCAGCATTTCCTGTGATTCACCTAGAGGATATAACATTGGATTATAGTGATGTGGACTCTTTTACTGGTTCCCCAGTATCTATGTTGAATGATCTGATAACATTTGACACAACTAAATTTGGAGAAACCATGACACCTGAGACCAATACTCCTGAGACTACTATGCCACCATCTGAGGCCACTACTCCCGAGACTACTATGCCACCATCTGAGACTGCTACTTCCGAGACTATGCCACCACCTTCTCAGACAGCTCTTACTCATAATTAATTAACATTTACTTCTGGTATGGAACAACTAGAAATACTGCTGGAAATAATATCCAAAGAGCTGATTCTACCAATCCAATTTCACCAGGAAAATTCCATCAGGGATTGGATGACCATGGGGATGGACATAATTGCTACTACCAACACAACAGCCAAGAGAGTTGCCTTACAATTAGAAATGTGTAGACAGAAATGTATAGAAGATACAAGGATTCTCTTAATTGGACTTAAATTCTTTATCTGTCTTCCTCCGATGTACTCAAATATATGAGCTAATTTTTGTCTTAAGTGAACATTTGTATATCTATGTATTTTTCCATGCCAAAAACAAAAACGAAGACCATTGTTTGGAGCTGCCTCTTATGACTAAGACAAGAATTTTTACTTTAACAGTGCCTGGCCCACTACTATCGTATATAGGAGAACATATAAAAGCATATAGAAAGTTCCAGATGAATGTTCCCTTCTCTACCCTCCACCTTTTATTGTAAGTTCTGACCCTAAATACTTTTCTGTGTCATGACGTCAAATTTTGTTTAAGGTTCTAGCTGGTAACTAACAGAGTCAGAAGCTAATTCTTTCATTCAACACAAGCACTGATCTAACTGGATAGAGATAAAAGTGGGACTTGCCTTGAGAGTACATCATATTAAATTAAAAGCTGCATCTCAAATTCTACTTATCTTTCCAATCTTCTTTCCACTTAGAATTCCAACTTCCAAGTATGGCAGCCTCATAACATGCCTCTTCAGGTCTCTGTGTTGTCCATGAATGTTAGTTGTGTGCAGTGTTTCTATGCTTTGTATGGCTGTACGCATGTGACTGCTGTTTGTATGGCAACAGGTGGGTCAGTAAGTGTCTTCTATGATACTACAGAGAAGCGGTTATTAACTATAAAGTTGATTAGGTTTTTTTTTTTTTTTGAGACAGAGTCTAGCTCTGTCGCCCAAGCTGGAGTGCAGTGGCATGATCTCGGCTCACTGCAAGCTCTGCCTCCTGGGTTAACGCCATTCTCCTGCCTCAGGCTCCCGAGTAACTGGGACTACAGGCACCCACTACCACACCTGGCTAATTTTTTGTATTTTTAGTAGAGAGGGGTTTCACCATGTTAGCCAGGATGGTCTCGATCTCCTAACCTCATGATCCATCCGCCTTGGCCTCCCAAAATGCTGGGATTACAGGTGTGAGCTACTGTGCCCGGCTGATTATTATTTTTTTTAAGTTCCAGGATAGAAGTGTAGAACATGTAGGTTTGTTACATAGGTATACATGTGCCATGATGGTTTGCTGCACCTATCAACGCATCATCTAGGTTTTAAGTCCCGCATGCATTAGCTATTTGTCTTAATGCTCTGCCTCCCCTTCCCCACACACCCTGACTGGCCCCCATGTGTCACGTTCCCCTCCCTGTGTCCATGTGTTCTTATTGTTCAATTCCCACTTATGAGTGAGAACACGTGGTGTTTGGTTTTCTGTTCCTGTGTTAGTTTACTGAAGATGATGGCTTCGAGCTTCATCCATGTCCCTGCAAAGAGCATGATCTCATTCCTTTTTATGGCTGCATAGTATTCCATGGTGTATATGTACCACATTTTCTTTATGCAGTCTATCATTGATGGGCATTTGGGTTGGTTCCATGTCTTTGCTATTGTAAATAGTGCTGCAGTAAACATACGTGTGCATGTGTCTTTATAATAGAATGATTTATATTCCTTTGGATATATACCCAGTAATGGGATTGCTGGGTCAAATGGTATTTCTGGTTCTACATCCTTGAGGAATCGCCACACTGTCTTCCACAATGGTTGAACTAATTTACATTCCCACCAACAGTGTAAAAGTATTCTTATTTCTCCACAGCCTTGCCAGCATCTATTGTTTCTTGACTTTTTAATAATTGCCATTCTGACTGGCATGAGATAGTATCTCATTGTGGTTTTGATTTGCATTTCTCTAATGATCAGTGATGTTGAGCTTCCTTTCATACGTTTGTTGGCTGCATAAATGTCTTCTTTTGAGAAGTGTCTGTTCATATCCTTTGCCCACTTTTTGATGTTTTTTTTTTCTTGTAAATTTAAGTTCTTGTAGATTCTGGATATTAGACCTTTGTTAGCTGGGTAGATTGCAAAGCGTTCCTCCCATTCTGTAGGCTGCATGTTCACCCTGATGATAGTTTTTTTTGCTGTGCAGAAGCTCTTTCATTTAATTAGATCCCATTTGACAATTTTGGCTTTTGTTGCAATTGCTTTTGGTATTTTCTTCATGAAGTCTTTGCCCATGCCTATGTCCTAAATGGTATTGCCTAGGTTTTCTTCTAGGGTTTTTATGGTTTTGGGTATTACATTTAAGTCTTTAATCCATCTTGAGTTAATTTTTGTATAAGGTGTAAAGAAGGGGTCCCGATTCAGTTTTCTCCATATGGCTAGCCAGTTTTCTCAGCACCATTTATTAAATATGGATCAAATTCACACATAACACTATTAACCTTAAATGTAAATGGGCTAAATGCCCCAATTAAAAGACACAGACTGGCAAATTGGATAGAGTCAAGACCCATTGGTGTGCTGTATTCAGGAGACCCATCACACATGCAAAGACACACATAGGCTCAAAATAAAGGGATGGAGGAAAATTTACCAAGCAGATAGAAAGAACAAAATAGCAGGGGTTGCAATCCCAGTCTCTGACAAAACAGACTTTAAACCAACAAAGATCAAAAAAGACAAGAGCATTACATAACGGTAAAGTGATCAATTCAACAACTAGAGCTAACTATCCTAATATATATGCACCCAATACAGGAGCACTCAGATTCATAAAACAAGTTCTTAGAGGCCTACAAAGAGACTTAGACTCCCACACAATAATAGTTGGAGACTTTAACACTCAGTGTCAATATTAGACAGATCAATGAGACAGAAAATTAACAAGGATATTGAGGACTTGAACTCAGCTCTGGATCAAGTGGACCTAATAGACATCTACAGAACTCTCCACCCCAAATCAACAGAATGTACATTCGTCTCAGTGCCACATGACACTTATTCTAAAATCGACCACATAATTGGAAGTAAAACACTCCTCAGGAAATGCAAAAGAACTGATTAGTTATTAATAAATTGGGCTGAGGCTTGGGCGCTACTGAAAGCCACAATATCAGATGCCAGAATGTCTCAAAATCAAAAAGGTTTTTTCCTCTAATTATTTTTTATGTGATCCAAGCCAAGCTGCCAGTGACTATGGCTGTAGTTTGGATGTTGACCATCAGACCACTGACCTTTCAGTAGACCTCATATTCTAATAGGTCTTAGACCACCAGTTAGGGTGTCCATCATTCAGATTTGATTGGGACTGAGGGGCTTCCCAGAACATGGGAATTAGAGAGCTAAAATCAAGAAAATCCAGAGTAAATTGGGACAAGTTGATCACCCTCACTTCAGTGTACTTCTGTCTAGCAAGCTATTTTTCCATTTTTCATGGCTATACCTCATCACATAGGTCATACATTGGCTTTTCACAGAATCAGTCTAGGGTGCTCTTTTTCCATATTTTTGCCTCAACTGTCATTTCCTGAAACACACTCCTTGAGCATGCAGAACACCTTCCATTCTACTTTGTATTATTTTCTTCCCATCATTTGAACTCTGAAATCATTTTGAGTATTTACTCTCTCTCTGATTTTTTTTACTAACTTATGGCCTAACACCCCTGCTATAATGTACATATAGTCCTCATCTCTTGGTCTTGTTGACCTATGTGATCCAAACTGCAAGAACAGTGCGTCACACATGAGAAATGCTCAATAAAAATTTGAGAACAAATTATTCAGGCAGTTATCTTAATATATATGAGAAGGTTATATAATATAAAACAGTAGTCTTCAAACTGCAATACTGGTTACAAAAAGATTTTTCAAGCTATACATATTGATAGTTTAAAGGAATAAAATTTCAGACCCTCAAGTTCCAAATTTCTTATGATGTTTTGGAGCATTCTTAACAGGCTCTTCTTTTATAACTCCAATTTCTCAATTTTCCTTCTCCCACTCTGAAAAGAAAACTTACCTCTCACCCACCCTTTATCTGACAATCATGGATTGCCCTGAGTGAACAAACCTCCAGTGGACAATTGAAATACTAGTGCTGGTATTCAGAAAGTGAATAATCATAGACTTTGAATAAAAATCCTTTGGAAATAAAAGTGTTTTTAATTTTTTTGTTTACAAAAGCAATGATGGGGTGTCAATCAAGTTGATGGTTAATATTAAATAGATCTTTGAAGATAAACTTTAATAATAGCCTACTATGAAATTTTTTAGCATATCACTTGGAAGAGGTTAAAAGAACTGTGTAAACATTAGAGTCTTATGTTCAAAGAGATTTCACAATAAGCTACAATGTATGTCTATGTTTTGTCACAGAGAAATGTGATAGAATGATTAATAAAAGACTTGCAAACACAAAAATATAGTACATTAGGATCAAATTTTGCAGAGAAGTTTGAATAAAAACTAAAGTTTTAAAAAGAAAAAAGATACAATGTTCCCAATTGCTAAAAAAGAGCTTCTTTGCATATTTATTAAATGAATTATTGTGATTAGCAAATTGTCATGCATTCATATTCCATTGGATGTATTTAGTATTTAGTTGTTACATGTCAATATTTGTAATATGCTATTAGTTATCTTTTTATGATTAAAATTTAAGATGAAATAGTTTATTTCCCAATTTTAAATTGTATTGGGAAAATACACACTTTATTTTTATACCTAGCATAGACTTTTTGTTCCTTCTAATTGGAAAAAGGCTTTGCAATTTGCAATTGGTATATGTGTGACTTCTAGAAATGTGGTGTTCTTTTTTTGTTTTTTGTTTTTTTGTTTTTTTTGAGATGGAGTCTCACTCTGTCGCCCAGGCTGGAGTGCAGTGGCGCCATCTCGGCTCACTGCAAGCTCTGCCTCCCGGGTTCACGCCATTCTCCTGCCTCAGCCTCCCTAGCAGCTGGGACTACAGGAGCACGCCGCCATGCCCGGCTAATTTTTGTATTTTTAGTAGAGACGGGGTTTCACCCTGTTAGCCAGGATGGTCTAGATCTCCTGACCTCGTGATCCGCCCACCTTGGCCTCCCAAAGTGCTGGGATTACAGGTGTGAGCCACCGCGCCCGGCCCAGGAATGCTCTTAACCACTTCATCAAGCATCAAGGTTGGCACTGTCTAGATGTTGGTTTTGATTGCCAACCTACAAAAGAAAAGGGAAATTATAAAAGAGAAAATTAACAAGTGAGTACAGTTTCAAAATCTGTCCTGCAAATGTGTTTTAAACCAAAGAAATCATCTTTGGCATGGGCTATTTGCTTTATAGTCATTCAGAATTGCTTGGTCTCTGTCTCCTGAAGACTGTGGCTAGGATTATTCCTGATGAATGAGAAAGTTACCATAAATCAAAAATAAAATGAATAGAAAACTTAACAGTTGACTCTCAGAAGAAGGTATCTTCCCTCACTTTGCACTGGTTATATATATATATATACACACACATACATATAATTGTATAATATGTATTATTTTATAAATTGATTTAGAAGGTACAAGTGTTGTTTTCTTATATGCATATATTACATAGTGGTGAAGTCTGGGCTTTTAGTTTAGCCATCACCCAAATAGTGTACATTGTACCCATTAAGTAATTTCTCATTTCTTAGCCCCCTTCTACCCTTCCAAGTTTCCAGTGTCTATTACCCACTCCTTATGTCCATGTGTATACTTAGTTTCCACTTGTGAGAACATGTAGTATTTGACTTTCTGTTTCTGAGTTATTTCACTTCAGATAATGAAAACATTCACTTCAGATAATGAAAACACACTTTTCAAAATTCAAAGAGGTTTGAAAAGCTCATGGCCTAATACCCCCACTATAAATTTTATTTTTAAACTGTTCATACTCCTAGAATGAACAGAGGCTTCAAACACTATCTGGTATAAACTGATGATGATTCTTCTACTACTGTGATCATTCTGTTTTTCTATGATTCCTGGATTTTCCTTTTCCATGAATGTGGGCTTTGCAGCATAACTTCTAGTTTGTTTATATCATTGCCCTTTAGGATCTCCTGTAGGCTCAGTAATCTATCACTTCCCTATATGGGACTGACCTCCAAATTACTGACTTTATATGTTCTCTCTCTCTCTCTCTCTGTGTGTGTGTGTGTGTGTGTGTGTGTGTGTGTGTGTGTGTGTGTGTGTGTGTTTAGTATTTGCATTTTGCCACATTCTTATATAGTTTCCAGCTCAAGTCTGAAATTCTCTACCTCTTTATCTATGCTGTCCATATTAGGTATATGATTTGATAAGTTAGACATGTGACATATATTTCCCCCATTCTCTGGGTTGTTTTTTCATTATATCAATGGTGTCTTTTGAAGTAGAGCAGTTTTTAATTTTGATGAAGTTCTCTTTTTTAAAAACACTTTTCTTTTTGGTGTCATATCTAAGAAATCATTCCCTAATTTAAGGTCATAAAGGCTTATTCTTGTGTTTTCTTCTAAGGGTTTTAGCTTTCACATTTAGCTGTACGATCCTTTTTAATTTAATTTTTTTGTATGATGTAAGGTAGGGGTCCAAATTCATTCTTTTGCATGTGGCTCTCCAGTTTCTCCAACACTATTTGATAAAAAGACTATTTACCCACTGAATTGTCTGGACACCCTTATAGAAAATCAATTAATAATAAATGTGATAATTTGGGCAGATCTTTGGAGAGAAAGCACCAAGAGTGGATGGAGAGGCAACACTGACACCAAAGCTGAAGAGAGAGGAAGCTGGAATCTCTGCATGAGGTGCCTGAACATTAGGGCTAGTTCCTGACCCTGAGTGGCTCCTGGGGAAGGGGTAAGTAAGGGGACTAAGGAACATCCCGCTTTTGCCATGGACCTCTGGGATCATAGCTACAGGGTACCCCATGTCCCTCATGGATTTGTAGGCTAGCAGGGAGCAGGCAGAGACAGGGCTTCAGCCAGTGTGAAGCCCAGGAGCTTTTGTGCATGGGGCAGCTCTGGCAGCGCATGACCGCAGGTGCCCATCCCCAAGGGCTCCCCATCTTCTTCTGAGAGGCTGTAGCCCCAGCTGACTGCTGGACCTGGAGAGAGTGGCGCCAGCTTTGCCATGGGACTGGGGTGCATCTGTTCTGCAGGCTCTCCTGCCTGCCAGCCCCTCCCATGGCCCCTGCCTAGCCACCCTGCAGGAGCATGAGCACAGCACAGCCTCCACCACTAAGCCGGAGTGCTTTGCTCCACCTGAGTACATTCCCAGTAACCTGGGAGCACTTCAGATCCCTCAGTGCAGCTGGAGCTTGACCCCAAGCCACAGATCATCCCCGTGCCCCAGGGCTGCAGCACACAGCTTGGGAGCATGCAGCTGAGATCTGTGGCTGACAGGCAAGTAGAGGAGAGGCCCCCAATATCAGAACATAAAGGGGGCAAGATGTGTGGGTTCATGGGCCAGCTTGGGAGCAAGGTGTGCCTCCCTCTGCAGGGTTGGTCTGGAAAGGGTGTGGCCCATCTCCCTGCCATGGCCTCTGCCCAAGGAAGCCCCACAGCCTGGAACACCTAACGAAACACAGAAATGATGCCAGTGATCAGGGTGGGGTCCCTAAAGGCCCAAGAGCAGATCTGGTGAGGAGTTTTCTCTCCCACTCCACTCACCATAGAACATGCCTGCAAATGGAAGGACATGCAAAAGAGCTGAGTAACAGCCTATGTACCAGTCACTACTTAAGCATCAATGACTAGATCTCAGCCCCAACTACAGCACCAAAAATGATTCTGCTAATATACACCCCTGTGAAACCAAGTGCAAGACTTTGCCCATACATAAAGATCCTGTACAGAGCCACGGACCTCTGAAAACATCCAGAAATGAACTCAACTGACTATATTCAACTTACACCACATTTAAAAGAAAACCAGCCCCCCTCCCACCAGAAGAGAAAGAATCAATGCAAGAACCCCAGCAGTTCAAAAAGCCAGGGTGTCCCCTTACCTCAAAATCAGCCCACTATCTCCCCAGCAGTGGTCCTTAACCAGACTGAAATGACAGACATAGAATTCAGAATCCAAATGGCAAGAAGCTCATTGAGATTTAGGAGAAAGTTAAAATCCAATCCAAGGAATCCAGTAAAATGATTCAAGAGCTGAAAGATGAAATAGCCATTTTAAGAAGGAACCAAACTAAACTTCTAGAACTGAAAAATTTGCTACAATAATTTCATAATATGACAGTATAACAGTATTAACAGAATAGACCAAGCTGAGGAAAGAATCTCAGAGCTCAAAGGCTGGTCCTTCAAATGAACAAAGTCAGAAAGAAAAAATCTTTAAAACTGAACAAAACCACCAAGAAATATGAGATTATGTACAGAAACAAAACTTCTGACACACTAGCATTCCCGAGAGGAGGGAAAGAGAGTGAACAGCTTGGAAAATATATTTGAGGATATACTCCATGAAAATTTCCCTAATCTCACTAGAGAGGTTGACATGCAAATTCAAGAAATACAGAGAACCCCAGCTAGATAAAATACAACATGACCATCCCAAGAAACATAGTCATCAGATTTGCCAAGGTCAGCATGAAGGAAAAAAAATCTTAAAGCCAGCTAGAAAGAAGGGTCATGTCATATGTAAAGAGAACCCCATCAGGCTAACACCAGACCTCTCAGCAGAAACCTGACAAACCAGAAGAGATTAGGGGCCTTTTTCAGAATCCTTAAAGAAAAGAAATTCTAACCAAGAATTTCAAATCCCATCAAACTAAGCTTAATAAACAAAGAGGAAATAAAATATTTCTCAGACAAGCAAATGCTGAGGAAATTCATCACAACCAGATATGCCTCCTTACAAGAGATTCTTAAGGGAGCTCTAAACCTACAATCAAAAGAACAACACCTGCTACAAAAAAAAAAAAAAAAACATACTTATGCACATAAAGACACTATAAAGCAACTACACTATCAAGTCTACATAATAACCAGCTAACAACACAATGACAGGATAAAAATCTCGCATATCAATACTAACCATGAATGTAAATGGACTAAACAACCCACTTAAAGGACACAGTGTAGCAAGATTGATAAAAAGACAAGACCCAACTATCTGCTGTCTTTAAGAGACCTACCTCACATGTAACTACACCCACAGGCTCAGAGTAAAGGGATAAAGAAAGATCTGTCACACAAATGGAAAACAAAAAAGAGCATGAGTTGTTATTCTTATATCAGATAAAACAGACTTTAAATCAACAACTATGAAGAGGGACAAAGAAGGGCATTACATAATAATAAAGGATACAATTCAGTGAGAAGACTTAACTGTTGGGCCTGGAGAGAGTGGGACCACCTTTGCCATGGGACTGGGGTGCATCTGTTCTGCAGGCCCTCCTACCTGTAGCCCCTCCGAAGGCCCCTGCCTAGCCACCCTGCAGAAGCATGTGCACAGTGCAGCCTCCACTGCCAAGCCTGAGTGCTTTGCTCCACCTGAATATGTTTATATTCTAAACATATATGTTCCCAACATTGAGGCACCCAGATTCATAAAACAAGTTCTTCTTAACCTATAAAAAGATGTAGATAGCCATGCAATAATAGTGGGAGACTTCAACACCCTACTGAGAGTGTTAGACAAATCACTGAGGCAGAAAATTAACCAAAAAATCCTGGACTTCAACTCAACGTTTGACCAACTAGACCTAACAGACACCTACAAAATATTCCACCCAACAACAACAGAATATAACTTCCTTCTTCTCTTTGGCACGTGGAACATATTCCAAGATTGACCACATGCTCAGTCATAAAGCAAGTCTCAATAAATTTAAAAAAGTCATGCTGAGCCCATTCTCAGGCCACAGTTTAATAAAAATAGAAATGAATATCAAGAAGATCTCTTAAAATTACACAAATACATAGAAATGCTCCTGATACCTGGGTAAACATCAAATTACAGCAGAAAATTAAAAAATTATCTGAATTTTTTATTAAAATAGGGACACAATTTACCGAAATATCTGTGATACAGCCAAAGCAGTGTTAAGGGAAATTTATAGTGCTAAACGTCATCATCAAGAAGTTAGAAAGATCTCAGATTAACCATCAAAGTTTGCACCTAGAACTAGAAAGAAAAGAACAAACCAACCCCAAAGCTAGCAGAAGAAAAAAAAATTACTAAAATTAGAAAAGAACTGAAAAAAATTGAGATGCAAAATTCCATAGAAAGGACCAATAAAGCCAAAAGGTGGTTTTTTGAAAGAATAAAAAAGGTTGATAGACTGCTAGCTACATAACCATGAAGAAAAAAGAAGACCAAAATAAATACAATAAAAAATGAAGAAGATGACATTACAATGAATCCCACAGAAATACAAAAGATACTCAGAGATCATTTTGAACAACTCTATGCACACAAATTGGAAAATCTAGAGGAAATGGATAAATTCCTGGAAATATAAAACCTCCCAATATTAAAGCCAAAGGAACATGAAAACCTGAACAATCAATAAACAAGTTCCTAAACTGAATCAATAATAAAAACCTACCAGCCCAAAAAAACCCTGGAAGAGATGGATTCACAGCCTAATTCTACCAGACATAAAAAGAACTGGTATCAATTCTACTGAAACTATTCCAAAAAAATCTAGGAGGAGAGGCTCTTCCCTAACTCAGTCTATGAAGCCAGCATCAGCCAGATACCAAAATCTGTCAGAGACACAAATAAAGAAAACCTCAGACCAATATCCCTGATTAACATAGATGCAAAAATTTTCAACAAAATACTAGGAAACCAATCCCAGCAACAGATCAAAAAATTAATACATCAGAATCAAGTAGGCTTTATTCCTGGGATGCAAGGCTGGCTCAATATATGCAAATCAATAAATGTGATTCACCACATAATCAGAATTAAAAGCAAAAAAATATGATCATCTCAATAGATGCAGAAAAGGATTTGAAAACAATCCAACGCACCTTAATGATAAAAACCCACAACAGACTAGGCACTGAAGGAACATACCGTAAAATAATGAGCCATCTATGACAAACCCATAGCCACGATCATTCTGAACTGGTAAAAGCCGGAACCATTCCCTTTCAGAACTGCAACAAGACAAGGATGCCCACTCTCACCATGCCTATTCAACATAGTACTGGAAGTGCTACTAGAGCAATCAGGCAAGAAAAAGAAATAAAAGGCATCCAAATAGGAAAAGAAGAAGTCAAACTATCCCTCATTGCTGATGATATGATTCTACACCTGGAAAACCCCAAATACTCTGGCAAGAGGCTTATAATACTGATGAACAACTTCTGTAAAGTCTCAGGATACAATATCAATGTCAATGTACATTTCTATACACAATAACCTTCAACCTGAGAGTCCAATCAAGAACACAATCCCATTTATAATAGCCATAAAAAATGAAAATCCCTAGGAATACAGCTAACCAAGGAAGTGAAAGGTCTCCACAAGGAGAACTACAAAATACTTCTGCAAGAAATCAGAGATGACACAAATAAATATAAACAATTCCATACTCATATATCAAAAAGATCAATGTCATTTAAATGGCTATACATTCCAAAGCAATCTACAGATTCAATGCTATTTCTATCAAACTACAAAAACTGCTTTTCACAGAATTATAAAAAAACTATTCTACAATTCATATGGAATCCAAAAAGTACCCAAATCACCAAAGCAATCCTAAGCAAAAGGAACAAAGCCAGAGGCATCACATTATCTGACTTCAAACTATATTATAAACCCACAGTAACCAAAACAGCTGATACTGGTACAAAAATAAACATATCACTAATGGAACAGAATAGACAACCCAGAAATGAAGCCACACACCTACAGACATCTGATCTTTGATAAAGACAACAAAAATAAGCACAGGGAAAAGACCCCCTATTCAATAAACGGTGCTTGGGTAGCTGGCTAACCATATGCAGAAGAATGAAAGTGGACCCCTGCCCTTCACCATATATAAAAATTAACTCCACAAGGATTAAATATTTAAATGTAAGATCTTAAACTATAAGAATCCTGGAAGAAAACCTGGAAATACCCTTCTCAACATCCACGTTGGTAAAGAATTCTTGGCTAAGTCTCCAAAAGCAATTGCAACAAAAACAAAAATTGGCAAGTGGGACCTAATTAAACTAAAGAGCTTCTACACAGCAAAAGAAACTCTCAACAGAGTAAACAGACAACCTACAGAATGGGAGAAAATATTCGCAAACTATACATCCAATAAAGGTCTAATATCCAGAATCTATAAGGAAATTAATTCAATAAGCAAAAAAAAATCCCATTAAAAATGGGCAAAAGTTATAAACAGACACTTCTCAAAAGACATACAAGTGGCCAAAAAACATGAAGAATTCTCATCATCACTAATCATCAAAGAAAGGCAAATCAAAGCAATTAGATACCATCTCATACCAGTCAGAATGGCCATTATTCAAAAGTCAAATAATAGCAGAAGCTAGTGAAGCTGTAGAGAAAAGGAAACACATACACTCTTGGTGGGAACAAAAACTAGTTCTGCCAGTTTGGAAAGCAGTTTGGAGATTTCTTAAGGAACTTAAAAATAGAGCTACCATTTGACCCAGAAATCTCATTAGTGGGTATCTATGCAAAAGAAAACAAATCATTCTACCAAAAAGACACATGCAGCCCTATGTTCATCGCAGCACTATTCCCAATAGTAAAGACATGAAATCAACCTATGTGCTCATCAATCATCAATGGTGGATTGGATAAAGACAATGTGTTACATATTCAACATGAAATACTATGCATCCATAAAAAAGAATGAAATCATGTTTTCTGCAGCAACATGGATGCAGCTGGAGACCATAATTCTAAGCAAATTAATGCAGGAACAGAAAACCAAATACTGTATGTTCTCACTTATAAGTAGGAGCAAAACATTGTGTAGTCATCAACATAAAGAAGGAAACAATAGACAATGTGGATTACTAGAGGGAGGAGGGAGGAAGGGGGGCATGGGCTGATAAACTAACTATTGGGTACTATGCTCACTACCCAAGTGAAAGGAAACATAACCCAAACGACAGCATCACACAATATACCCATGTAACAAACCTGTACTTGTATCCCATGTATCTAAAATAAAAGTTGAAGTTATAAAGAAAAATAAGTGTTAGAGTTTATTTCTTGGCTCACAATTCTACTCCATTGTTATATATGTTTAGCTGTACTGAGGGGTCTCCAAGATCACCCTCAAGTTTGATGACTCACTAGAAAAACTCACCAGACCTATAAAAACGATTATACTCATGGTTACAGCTTAATACAGTTAGGAGATACAGATTAAAGTCAGCAAAGGTAAAAGGTGCACAGAGTGATGCCTAGGAAAAAACAGGTATGAGCTTTCAGTTGTACTCTTCCTCCAGAATCACACGAATAGAACTCAATTCTTCCAACCATAAGGTATGACAATAAGTGCAAAATGGTGCCAGCCATTTTCAGTGGGAGTCAATCACATAAGCATGAAGCATCCCCAAGACTGAATTTAGCTACTCAATCTTCAGCCCCTAACCTTAGGAGTCAAGCTAATACCGCTTGGCCTGAAGCCCCAGTCATAGAAAAAAATATATGATTTATTCACCATAAATCACATTGTTAGCATAAACTATTTGGCATGGGCCAAGTCTCAGGTATACAAAGACACTTTATCAGGCAGGATAATTAAAGGGCTCAGAGATTATCTGCCAGGACCTTTGAAATATGCAGGGTTAGGACAACCCCAAATCTTCTGAGTTAACCCTTTATTACACAGTCCACCCCATACCCCTTAGCCTAGGCTGTCTTTCAGCAAAACAATTCTATATTTCTGAGCATCTACATTTAGTATAGCATTTATATAACAGATCTAGAAATAGTATCAGTATGAAGAAAGATCTCTAGTTATAGTAGATAAAATATAGCAGTGGAAGGCCCAGCATACCATGGTTGTGCTATGCTCAAAAACATTTGGAGGAGCTAGTGTGGGGTAGGGATAAAGATTTTAAAAACAACTAATCTATCTCATAAAGCCATTACATACATTTTCATATTTTTGTACTGATTTGTTACTTGTTTCTCCCCTTGATCTACCACTTTAATCTTACAGCTGCAGAATTATTTAGCCTAGAAATTAGTTTATGGTTAACTAAATCCAATTCTTCCTTAGGCTAGTCATTTTCCATTGGTAATACATCCTGAGGAGGCTTAACTCAATCTCTCAATACATTTGATCATCAGTATCAGTACCATCCTATGACTTATTTAATAAGGTGGCTGAATCTTACCAACAATAATAGTGTCACACTGTATAGCAATATAGTCATGGAACAATTTAGTTTCATTCATAGAACAAATTAGTAAGGCTTACGTAAGTTTTGCTATGCCTTCCCAACAGAAACAGTCCTTGCTTATATACAAGATATACTTATGGACAAGCATTGTTATAATTGTTAGAATGATTTGATTATTTCTGGCTTCCATGTCAACGGAGGACAAAGACAGCCACCCCGTTTTAGTTTTCAAGCTTGGACAGAGACTGGTTTCCATTGTGTGATTTTCTACAGCAGGACCTCCCCACCCTCCTATGGGAGGTCACAGGTGATATTCAGATAGCTTCAGTCCCTACTAACTGTACTGCAGAATATGTCTTATTCTGAAGCTCTAATGGGGCAAGAATAATTTGTAGTGCATCAATGCACATTTACAAATGCCCTGAGAGGTCTTTCATAAGTTTGAAGGCCCATGAGATTCCCATAAGTGTGTCCCTTTTTCCTCAGCAACTAGGATGTAGTGCTATTTCCCCATGGTTACTTTGACCTTCATCTGTAATTAAAACAGTCAAAAGGCACTGTTGGGTCAGGGTACAAGCCCTTTCCCAACGTTGGATCTTAGCATTATCTAGCATTATTTTTGAGTCTACTTGTTTCATTTTAATAAAGCCTCATCACTTTCTCAGGATGACCCTCATCTTTTGCCTTCCTCCTAGAAAAGAATTCTCTCCAATCTGCTCATTTTAGTTCAGTAATATTTCCTCTAGACTTCACTAAAAGGGAATTCAGCTTGTCCCATGATGCCTGAACTGACACCTAATGCCCCTAAAAAGTCTGTTTTATGCACAAATGTAGTTTAATTCACCATGCATGTTGTTGGCATTGTATACTTATGGCCCAAGTGCAGTTAGCATATGTGGTTTTTACCCCAAAATGCGGGTTCTTCATATATAGATTAGATGAATTGTAGTCAAACTAGATCTAATTTAGTTTTTAGTATGTTTTAATGCCTTTCATAATCTTTTTTGTCTCAGGGTGGGGCCATTACCCCAGGGGAATTCAAGTCACCGTGTAATGGCTACTGCTTTAATCCCATCATGTATTAATTGCCATTCTCTCTTTTTTCAACTTTCATTTTAGATTCAGGGGATACATGTGCAAGTTTGTTACCTGGGTATATTGCATGATGCTGAGGTTTGGGATATGAATGATTTTGTCACACAGGTCTGAGCATAGTACCCAGTAGTTAGTTTATCAAACCTTGTCCACCGCCTACCCAGTAGTACCCAGTGTCTATTGTTTTCATCTTTATGTCCATCAGTACTCAATGTTCAGCCTCCACTTACAACATATGGTGTTTGGTTTTCTGTTCCTGTGTTAATTCACTTAGTATTACAACATCCAGCTGCATCCATGTTGCTGCAAAGAGCATAATTTCATTCTTTATTATGGCTGCATAGTATTTGATGGTGTATATATAACACATTGTCTTTATCCAATCCACCATAGATGGGCATGTAGGTTGATTTCATGTCTTTGCTATTGTGAATAGTGCTGTGATGAGCTATAACTGCATCTGTCATTTTGGTGGAATGATTTGTTTTCTTTTGCATAGATACCCAGTAATGAGATTGCTGGGTTGAATGGTAGCTCTATCATTAAGTTCCTTAAGAAATCTCCAAACTGCTTTCAAACTGGCTGAACTAATTTACATTCCCACCAAGAGTGTAAAAATGTTCAGTTTTCTCTGCAACCTCACCAACATCTGTTTATTTGTTTTTCATGTTTGAGTAATAGTCATTCTGACTGTTGTGAAATGGTATCCAGTCATGGTTTTGATTTGCATTGCTCTGATGATTAGTGATGATGAGCATTTTTTTCATATGTTTGTTGAGCACTTATATGTCTTCCTTTGAGAAGTGTCTGTTTGTGTCCTTTGCCCATTTTTTCCATGAGTTTTTTTTTCTTATTGAATTGTTTAATTGCCTTATAGATTCTGGATATTAGATCTTTGTTGGATGCATAGTCTGTAAATATTTTCTTCCATTCTATAGGTTATCTGTTTACTCTGTTGAGAGTTTTGTGGTGCAGAAGTTTAATTAAGTCCCACTTTCCAATTTTTGGTTTTTGTTTTTTTCAATTGCTTTTGAGAACTTAGTCATAAATTATTTTCCAAGGTGATGTTGAGAATGGTGTTTTCTAGGTTTTCTTCTAGGATTCTTTTTTCTTTCTTTTTTTTTTTTTTTTTTTTTTTTGAGATGGAGTCTCACTCTGTTGCCCAGGCTGGAGTGCAGTGGCGTGATCTTAGATCACTGCAACCTCCACCTCCTGGGTTCAAGCTGTTCTCCTGCCTCAACCTCCTGAGTAGCTGGGATTACTGGTGCATGCCACCACACCTGGCTAATTTTTGTATTTTTACTGGAGACCAGATTTCACCATGTTGGTCAGGCTGGTCTCAAACTCCTGACCTCATGATCCGCCCACCTCAGCCTCCCAAAGTGCTGGGATTACAGGTGTGAGCCGCTGCGCCCAGCTCTTCTAGGATTCTTAAAGTTTTGGATCTTACATTTAAATCTCTAATCGAACTTGAGTCAATTTTTATACATGGTGAAGGGCAGGGGTCCATTTCATTCTTCTGCATATGGCTAGCCAGCTATCCAAGCACCATTACTGAATTATTGAATAGAATTATTGAATAGGGAGTCCTTTCTCCATGATAATTTTTGTTGTCTTTGTTGAAGATCAAATGGCTGCAGGTTTGTGGCTTTATTTCCAGGTTCTCCATTCTGTTCCATTGGTTTATGAGTCTGTTTTTGTACCAGTATCATGCTGTTTTGGTTACTGTTGGCTTATAGTTTGAAGTTAGGTCATGTGATGCCTCCAGCTTTGTTCCTTTTGCTTAAGTTTGCTTTGACTATTGGGGCTCTTTTTTGGTTTCATATGAATTGTAGAATAGATTTTCTAATTCTGTGAAAAATGATAATGGCAGTTTGATAGAAATAGTGTTGAATCTATAGACTGCATTGGGCAGTTTGGCCATTTAAATGATATTGATTCTTCCAATCCATGAGCATGGGATATTTTTTCATTTGCTTATATTATTTATTATTTCTTTTAGCAGTGTTTTGTAGTTCTCCCGGTAGAAATCTTTCACCTCCTTGGCTAAATATTTGCAATGTATTTTATTTTTCATGTGGCTGTCATGAATGGGATTGTGTTTTGAGACTTTGCTGAAGTTGTTTATTAAATCTGGAAGTCTTTTGGTGGAATCATTAGGGTTTTCTAGGCGCATAGAATCACATTGTCAGCTTAGAGAGCTAATTTGACTTTCTCTTTTCCTATTTAGACACCTTTTATTTCCTTGTCTTGCCTGATTGTTTGGGCTAGGATCTCCAATTCTAACAGCTTTCAGTGGAGTCTAGGTTTTTCTAAATATAAGATTATGCTGTCTGTAAACAGGGATAATTTTTTTCTTTTACTGTTAATTTTCAGAGTTTTATATTTTATTTATTATGTGTAGTCTGCAAATACATTCTGTAAGGTTATTGCTTGTCTTTTTATTTTCTTAACAGGGTCTTTTGCAGAGCAAATTTTAAGACTTTGATGAAGTTAAATTTGTCAATTACTTTTTATGGATTGGGCTTTTTGTGTCATGTCTAAAACCTCATAACCAAGCATTAAGCTCCATAGATTTTCTCCTATGTTTTCTTTTAAAAGCTTTATGGTTTTACATCTTACATGTGATTCTATGACCAATTTTGAGGGCTTTTTTTTCATGTATGTGGGGTGTTTAGGTAAGTTAATTTTTTTTAACCTGTGGATATGCAACTGTTCCATCACCTATATTTAAAAAGATTATTCTTCCTTCATTTAATTGGTTTTATATCTTTGTAAAAAAAATCAATTGGCTATACTAGTATGGTTCTACTTCCGGATTCTGTATTCTTTTCCATTCATGTATGTGTCCATTCCTCTGCTAATACAAATCTTGGTTACTGAAGCTATACAACAACTTTCATAATTGGGTAGAATTAATTTCTCCGACTTTATTCTATTTTTTCAAGATTGACTAATCCATTCTAGCTATTTTGCCTTTCCATATAAATTACAGAATAATCTGTGTATATTTAGAAATATCTTGATGGCAGTTTCAAGATGGCTGACTAGAAGCAGCTAGCGTGTGCTACTCTCACGGAGAGGAAACAAAGTAGCGAGTAAATAGTGGCTTTTCAAGTGGATCGTCTGGGAGACCACATCAGGATTCACCAAGGAAGTGAGGGAATCCTCAGAGAGCAGAGAGTGAAGCCTGGCAGCAGCCGCTCACCCGGGACCAGTGTGGAGCAAGAGAAATTCCCTAACATGGGGAAAGGGTGAGTAAGTGAGAGTCCTCAGGGGATCCACATGGATCTTTGCAATCCTGTGCACAGGAGAACCCCTTGGCCCCTATAGGCCTCTAGATCGACACAACATCCTGGAGTTTGTGTAGACGCACTGCTAAGGGCCATGTGGAGCCCCACAGGCCCTGGATCCCTGATCAACCTGGTGCCAGCTGCCATAGCCCTGATAGGGGCTGCAGTCATGGTGCTGAGGAGTGGTCAGACTGCCCTGCTCCTCCTCACCAGGCAAGGCTCGGCTTTGGCTTCCAGTGCAACAGTCTGCCTCCACCTGAACTCTGCATGTGGGCACACTCTACACTCCCCTGGGAACCACTCAGATGGCGGATTGTGTGACTCCCATTCCCCTGCTGCTCCGAGCCAGGCAAGGCTAGCTGGTTTGGGCTTCAACACAGCACCTCTGCCCCTACCTGAACACTGTAGTGGGTTGCAGCTTTCCATTCCCCTGGGGCAAAACTCACAGAGGTAACAGATAATGCCTGGCACCTTTGTGTGTTGCTAATAGTGAAGTTCAACATTATTGGATAGGAGGGAGGTGCAAGCATGCCAGGCATTCCACAGCTTCCAGTCTCCATTGCCCCAGCTAAGGGATGGCATGCTCTCCAGTTAAAGGCCCACAGCACAACTGTCCTGCCCCTGCCTGAACATTTCACCTGCGACCCAGAGCCTTTCCGAAAACCCACCCACCACAGGCCTGTGATATTCTTCTGGGTTCCCACCACCCAAGAATCCCACCTTCCCCTGCCTGAGAGTTTGGCTGGTGACCCAGGGACCAGCCTGAACCCCACCCCCACCCCATTACAGTCAGCACCTGAAATCTGGGATAGATAACCCCAGTCCAGCCCCTTCAGGGCCATGCACACTGTCCAGCAGGCCTTCTGGAGGCCTGTCAGCTGAGAAACTATCAATACCCTTCCAGTGCTGTTGGCACCTGACCAATTTCCTCAGGGCCTGAGGTTGGGCCTACCCAACCAGCAAACACCACCATGACCAACACCGACCTGCACGGACCCAAAGGTGGAGACCTTCCTTCTCAAAAAGCAGCAGTAATGCCCCATCATAGAATAAGTGAGCCTTAAAGCTATCTGTATCAGGTTGAGTGATGAGGTTATACCCTGAACAACTCTCATGGAGAATCATAAAACAAGTGTTCCCTGTGGCCCTCAACCACATTGCAGTCCAGAGATAGACTATAGTGTGCATCTGAACTAGGAGTCATGAGCCCTGAAACAGGGTGTGATAAGGAAACAGATCACATTTCTACCTACCTAGGATGGGGAGCTGGTGCAGTCTTCTCGCCCACAAGCCCCTACAGAGACCTCAGTGCAGGAGTTGCTCCCAGCCACGCTCATCAGAGCTGGTGCCTGTGCTTGCCATTGGTATACTAATGGGCAAGCCAGGGGCACCAGCTCTTCTCAGCTCTGTCCCACCATCCCCACAGAACAAGAAGCTCAGTACATCAGGCACCCCCACTGTCCAGCCCTTCACCTGAAACAACTGAGAGCCCCTAATAGTAAAAAAAGATCAGATCTATACCCATCTGTTTATGGGACAGCTGGCTGTTACTTGCAAATGTCATCTACCAGTCTATAGGTCAAACTGGACAGCCCATCAAAAAACCTGCTGGTAGAAGTGTGTAGGACTATAGAAACAAAGCCAAAAGCCCTACCCAACACAATCCCCTCCAGATAAGAAGGAACTAGTATAAGAATTCTGCTGTCATGAAAAATCTGAATGTGTGACACCAACAAGGTTCACTCTAGCTCTCCAGGAGTGGTCCTAGCCAAAATAGAAGCTGAGAGATGACAGATGGAGAATTCAAAGCATAGATTGCAGGAAAATTCTTTGAGATTCAAGATAAGGTTGAAAATCAACACAAAGAAACCTGTAAAGCAATCCAGAGAATAAAGGAAGAGGTAAACTCTTAAAAATAAATCTATCAGAGCTACTGAAAGTGAAAAACTCACTTAAGACATTCCGAAATTCAATGAAAAGTTTTATCAATAGACTAGATGTAGCAGAAGAAAGAATTTCAGAGCTTGAAGATCAGTCTTTCAAACTAACCCAGTCAGACAAAATAAAGAAAAAGTTATTTTGAAAAATGAACCAAATCTTCAAGAAATATGGGATTATGTAAAGTGACCAAACCTATGAATTACTGGCATTCTCAAGAGAGAAAGAGGAAAAAGTAAACAACCTAGAAAGCATATTTGAGGGAATAATTCAAGAAAATTTCCTTTATCTTGCTAGAGAGGTAGACATCCAGATACAATAAATTCACAGAACACCTGCAAGATGCTATACAAAGTGAACATCATCAAGACATAGGGTCATCAGACAGTCTAAGGTCAATTCTAAAGAAAAAATCTTGAAGGCAGCCTAGAGAAAAGTGTCAGATGAGTTACAAAGGTGAGCCCATCTGGCTAACAGCAGACTTATCAGCAGAAACCCTACAATCCCAAAGAGACTGGGGGCCTATTTAAAGAATTCTCAAAGAAAAGAAACTCCAAGCAAGAATTTCATACCCTGCCAAACTAAGCTTTATAAGTGAAGGAGAAATAAGATCTTTTTCAGACAAGCAATCACTAAGGCAATTTATTGCCACTAGACCAGCCTTACAAGAGATCCTTAAGGGAGTTGGAGTTCTAAACATAAAGATGGAAGAACAATATCTGCCACCACAAAACCACACCTAAGTACATAGCACATAGACCCTTTAAAGCTATTACACAATAGGAACTATAAAGCAACCAGCTTACAATTTCATGACAGGATCAAAATCTCACATATCAATATTAACCTTGAATGTAAATGGTCTTAACACCCCACTTAAAGGCACAGAGTGGCAAGTTGGATCATAAAATAAGACCCATCCATCTGTTGTGTTCAAGAGACCCATCTCACATGTAATGACTACTACACTAATTTTATCGGGTTTTTTTCCCCATTGCTTATAAGTTTCATTTTATGGTATGTTATTTTGATTGTATGCCAAACATTGGGTAAATGGGTTTTGGAGACTCCAAGTGATGTTATCTTCAAACATAAAAGGTCCTCCCTTTCTCCAGATAGCAAAGAGATAAGGACATGACTAATTCAATATAACAAGGCATTAAGCTGGTTCAGGGCTGGGTTTCAGTATTAGTAATGATTCCAACCACATCTAGTTTGGTCCTGTTTCTCAGGAATAGCCCTCCAGGCTTTTTCTTCAGGGTCTGTTTGGTCTCAGTATCTTCAGCCCAAAAAAACAATGAGGGAATTCTAGCTCTGTTCTTTATGGTTTTCAAACATTGCTCTTCAGCCTCCTGATTCAGGCACTTCTGTAATGTCTCAAGGGGGAGACTATCTGTGTGCTTGAGGTAGGCTCCATATCACTATCATATCTGTTTCCTAAGCACTACAAGAGTACAAGAAATCTCTTACTGCCTTTCGGAAGTTTCAGCTGAGCTTTCCAACCTCTCACAAAGCTCTACTTTTCCAATGCTCCATTGGGGGGACTAAAATTTGGGGCACCTGAAATTCCAATTTGTAATTCCTAGAATCTCTGCTACTTCTGCTGATTCAATTACCTCCCAGAAAGCCTTTCTTTCTGGGCCAAGCCTGATTTCCCGTCTGTCCCAAACTGACAAAGGCACCCATGGGGGAAATGGCTGGCAATTATTGACCTACTCCAGAAACAGAAAGCCTGTTCTGTTCTCTCTTTAGAATATCAACTCTTCTAGTACCAGTAATTTCTCTGGTTCTCTAATGCCTTGGAAATATTATTTTAATAAAAATCAAGCTTTTCTAGGTTTTGTATCAAAGGCATTGCTTTTCTGTGATTTACTGATTTCTCCCCAAGAACAGAACTTCTCAGGCCCATTTAATCTTAACTTAATTGCTGTTATGTTTGGCTTTAAATTGGCCATTGTTTAACGTGATTTACATTTTCCTGAGTTTTCTATATTTCTCTTTTTTCTCCTTTCTTTTAATCTTTCTGTATAAACCAGATGTTCTTTAATTCCATTTTCCTCCCCACTAGTTTTTAATGTATTCTCCTTTTCTATTCATCATCACTCTAGAAATGAAGACATACATTCTTAACCTATCAATATCTAATATTAACCAAAAATGTGTATTTCTCCTCAGACAATGCATGGAATACAACTCCATTTCACCTGCCTCCAGTTTATATTCTATTGCTTTATTTTACTTTCATATAATACTAAGACAATATTATTGCATGCGTGACAATTATAGGTAGTTCTATTTTCTGGGTGACTCCAACAAGTTATCATTATAAAGTAACCCATTTTCCTCTAAGATAATTTTTGCCTTAAATACTATTTTGTTCAATACTAAGAAGTAAGATAACTTCCTTTTGTTGGTATTTGCATGTTAAGTTTTTTTCCCATATTTCCACTTTCAATCTTCTCCGTATCTTGTTTTTACATTTATCTGTTGTAAATAGCATCTAATTTTTCATCCAGTCTAGCAACTAGAGTTAATCCATAAATTTACCAATCTCTGAATAATATATGGAACATAGACCACTTTAATTCTATTTAACGCTCCCAATTGATTCTATTTTCAGAATTTTGATATTTAATTATGTTTTTAATCTTATAAAACATCTTTATTTAATTCTGCCAGTTTAATCCACTTTTATCCCTTTTTTTGTTGCTTCTTCATCACATACTTTCCATGTGTGGTCATTTTTTTAAACTAAAGAACATCCTTTAGAATTTCCTTTCATGAGATCTGCTATCTCTATCTGAAAAGGTTGTATTTATATTTTCTTCTTAAAATATTTTTGTGGATATGGATTTCTAGGATGACATTTACTTTGAAAAATACGTTGAAGAGCTCAGTCCATTGGATTATGGCTTCTATTGTTTGTGGTGAAAAATCACCTGTCAGTGTAACAATTACTCTATCAAAAGTATGGTTTCTGTTTTTCCCTCTGACTGTTTCCCACTTTTCTCTTTGTCATTTTATCTAGATGACAATTCTTATTTATTTTCTAGAATAGTATTTCTTAGATTATTTCTGAAAAAAAAGAAGATTTATTATCTTTTCAAATTTATGTAGCTTTTTGTAATTCTTTTTCTTTAATTTTCTTTCTCCTTCTCTTTGAAAATCTTATTAATCAGATATTGGCTCTCCTGGATTGACACTCTGTGTCTTATATATTTTGCTCATACTTTCCACTTGTTTTTAGACTTCAAAGATTTTCTCACTTTATCTTCAAATGTGCCTGCTAAACAATCATTTTTCTAATTTCCAAAAGTTTACTACTTCTCCTTACATAGCATGATATTATTGCTTTATGGATGGAATACACTCTTGAAACTCCAGCCCCTAAATAATAGTTATTCTAATGTGCCTTTCTTCATTTATTTTCAGTCATGTTAAAGATTTTCTCAAATAGATAGCCAGCCTAGATTGTTTATTCATATTTTACATATATACTGAGCCATTTTATGTGTGCAAACTTGTCCACAGCTTTTGTTTTAAAATGCTTGAACTGTGAAGATAGAAAAGACATGTTTGCTGGAATGCATAATACTGAAGTTTACTTCTCATAGTCTTTCTTTAGAAGTTATCGCCTAGGCAGAAAAAGAAAGTAACTAAAAAAAAAGAAAACACAATTTCCAGGTATATCTGTGCCAACTCAGGTGACTAGTAAAACAAAATTCTAAGATGACATCTGTATAGCCTACATAGGAAGCAACCAGTTCACATTATAGAAGGAAGAATGAATGTTCCAGAGACAAAATATAGTTACAATACACCCTCATCTATTGTAGTAAAAAAAAAAAAAAGCTGAAGTCTAAATTACACAAATGTAGCAGCATAATACTATTAAATAATAAGTAATTTAATATTCTATTTCATGGCATTATTTTACAGGAGCACTATTTGATCATCTTCTCTTTATCACACATACTTCTTCCATTTATCTTACAGTATCTTTACATAAACACTAAAATAGTTATACTCAGATTGTACACTTTTGAAGGGAGTTAGCCTATTTGTGTCAATTATTTACTAAAACAAAGCTAAATAACAGCAACAAAAAAGCCTTGTTGGAACAGGGACCAGGGGAATGATCAGAGCAATAAGTAGCTTGCATGAAAATATTATTAACTCTGAATACTTTCTCATTAACATTAACAGTGTGTCCTGCCTGTATATTTAATCCATTTAGAATTAAACTATTAATATATTGTGTCCTAGGATGGCAGAGTTATTAAGCAGCCCCTGTATGCTCCAGGGGATATAGGTTGATATTCTTCAGCTGTCAAAATTCTTCAGCTGTCAAAATTCTTCAGCTGACTTAAATCAGCAGTAGTGGCGTTTATCACCAGTCAACAAAGTTCTTCTATCCTTCACTTCTTTAGCCTACTCATCTAATGGATGTTGGCACGAACATGAAGTTTCTCTCCTAAATATCTATGATGTTCCACAAATCATGGGATATGCCTGCAGGCTGCCAGCACAATCAGATCTTCATGTTCCAAGAAAGGGATCATTAGTTTGGCCCTGCAAGATGTGCCACCTTTCTTGGAGAACTGAGTGTGCCACATGCAATCTGCTGAGGCATGAACGTGCTCTTGGCATTTCTGTTTATTTGCTCCTTATTACACTATATTGTGTCAGAATGATGGTTTGGGTTCAACAGTATGCTCACGTAAGCCACTATTCCAAACTTCCTAAACGCACAGTTGTGGAATGTGACACAATTGTTGGCAATGATATTTAAACAGGATATGTGTTTTTGGTGGGGTCTCTGGGAAAAATTACTAAAGGGAGGGGTGGAGTGATCCAAATATTCAAGTGGTAGACACCCACTTGACTTTGGCCTTCCACTTCCTCCTGTTTGGAATATGGTCATAATGCTGGAGGTAATGCTGCCATCTATAACAATGAAGCAAAAACACTGGATAACAGTATGTGAACAGAAGAGTAGAGGGTGACTAGCATGGTGAAGCTGTTATATAATTTCTGGACTTTATGTTATGTAAGAAAAATAAAACCTGAATTTGTAATAAATGAACAAAATGCCTTTTTCATGTTTTTCTGTTTCATATTACAGCCTATTATACTTTCTAACTGGCACATCATGGATTATAGATAGAATGTGATTTAGGATTAAACTCTCTTAAGTTTAAAATGTGTAGTTTTCTTCTCTCTTGTTCATTCTCTTACTGCCTCCAGTTCATTTCAGAGCATATGAAAAGAGACAATAAGGGACTTTTAGCTGGAAGTTTACACTACATTACTGAGTAGGAGGAAAGTAGCTTAATAGTTCTATAAAGAGTATCATTACAATTTTAAAAATAAACAAAAACATAAATTATATACCTGTAGTCTATCCTGAAAATATTTCCTGAAGTCACAGATTTGGAGTATTGTCAACTTGTGCATAAACTTCATGAGACCATGGACTATTGTTTTTCTCACTGCTTTATTCCTAGCTCCTTGATCAGAACAGGCAGAGAGAAGATGCACAATAAAT
This sequence comes from Homo sapiens, assembly GCF_000001405.40. Classification (NCBI taxonomy): domain Eukaryota; kingdom Metazoa; phylum Chordata; class Mammalia; order Primates; family Hominidae; genus Homo; species Homo sapiens. Next base: position 122,670 of record NC_000020.11, read on the forward strand.
GAATAAATATAATAAATGAATGTATCCTTTATTACCTACGCAAACACATGCACACAAACACATCTATGAAGTTTTACATGATAGTATAAACACTGCTTTGGTGGAGGAAGTTACTGATTTTCTTTTAGCTTGTTTTCCACTTTATTTTTCTTTACCAAATAAGTTTCACTTTTGCTATTAGAATATAATAAATAACAGAAACCACAAGAACAAAGTAGCAGCTGAAAAAAAGAAATGGAAAATTCTTAATTCATATATGATTGCCTCTGTGAAACAATGAAAAGTGGTCATCCAATTTCAGTTTGAACACTTTTTTCCTCATAAAGTCATCCTATACCTTTACTCAAATTTAGTTTTAGGTGCATTAGGAGTTAAAAATAAAACATAAACCCATTTAAGAACCAAGAGAATTAGTAAGGTAAATTACTTTGGTAAAATGCCCAAGTTCCAGGCTCTGCTGAAGAGAAATTATTGATTCAACCTTAAAATATTTGAAGTCTCTGGTAAGGTGACTTTAGCTAAAGCTGCAACCAGCTCAACTACAAATCAGACTGACTCACTACTCTAGCAACTTGACAGAAGAACAATACTAGACAGAATATTAATTACCTTTTGGAGGTAATTATTTATTGAAAACTCTACTGAACTTCTATATGTCTGGCATAAAATAAAGGTTATGACATATTTTTAAAAAGAAAGAAGACATAACTCATTGTCCAGAGAGGAAATGATCAACACCCAGCCAATGGAATTATCAACCAGAAACTCAAAGTAACTCTGATAGAAATATGCTAGAGAATATAGTGGGAAAATAAACAGTACTGGTGTTTACTGATAAAATAGAGAATTTTATCTATGAGCCAAAACAAAGTAATACAAATTAAAAATTCAATATCAGAAATGGATAATTCATTCAATGGGCTGAACAGCAGACTGGGAGAAGCAAAGAAAACAATCACTTCACTTGAAACTCAAATGAACATTTGAATAGAAATTTCCCAAATGAACACAAACACAAAAAAGTAAAGAAAAATTGAATACAACATCAGAGAGATGTGAGATATTATCAAATAATTCAACATGGATTTAATTGGCTCCCAAGAAGAAGGGAAGGAGAGAATGAAGCAGAAGAAATAAGAGCTAATAGCCTCCTACATAGCAAAATTGATCCAAGAACTTCAGCAAGGTCTAATTAGGACAAATTCAAAGAAAATTTCTAGACATAGTGGATTTCAAACTGCTGAAAATCAAAGACAGAGAACAAATCTTAAAAGTAGCCAGAGAAAAAGGACATGTTATCTAGGAAGGAACAATGACACAAATGATGCTGAGCTATTTCCAGAAAAATAAAAACAGCGGGTGACATCAGCAAGATGGCAGAATAGGAAGTCCCAGATCTCATTTCCACATGGAAACACCAGTTTAACAATAGATGAACAAAAATATCTTTATTAGAATTCCAGAAGAGAAGGAAAGAAATTCAAAGATTTCTCATAAGAAACTTCGAAGGGCAGGAGGAAGTGGCACAATATTTTTAAAGTGCTTCAATAGTAAGTCTCAATCCAGATATCTATGTCCAAGAAAATATCCTTCAAGAATAAGGACCAAATAAACACATTCTCAAATGAAGGAAAACTGAAAAAAAAAGGGGGGGTCACTAGTAGGTATACCTAAAAGAACAGCTAAAGGAAGTCCTCCACAGTGAAAGAAATTATTTTTTTTTTTTTTTGAGAAAGGAGTCTTGGAACATAAGGAAAAAAGAAGAGAGAAAACAAAAACATCAGAAATGCAATAAACTTTTTACCTACTTTTTAGTTTTCTAAATTATTTTTGACAGTAACAGCAAAAATTATCCCTCTATAGTGATTCTCAGCATAGGTAGAAAAAATATTTAAGTCAATGATATTAGAAATGGGGGGTTATCATAGAGATATAAAGGGAGATAAAATCTTTATCTGATGTGGTTAAATGATGTACCAGTAGACTGTAATAAGTTATGGATATATAATGTAGCACAGACAACAATCACTACAAAAGCTATACAAAGAGATACACTTGAAAACACTATAGATGAATGAAAATGGAATTCTAAATTATGGAAAAATATCTCACAAAATGGCAGGAAAAATAAGACAAAGAAGCAAAAAGGAAACAAAAACAAAATGAAAGATTTAAGCATTAATATATCAATAATTTAATTAAATTTAAATGATCTAAACACACAAATTTAAAGATGAATATTGGCAAAGTATGTTTTTAGATGACCCAGTAATATGCTATATACAAGAAACTCACATCAAATATAATGATATAAATAGGTTATAAGTAAAAGAATGGAAAAAGATATACCATACAAATATTAATAAAAAGTTTGCAGGAGTGACTATATTAATGTCAGATAAAGTAGACTTCAGAACATCAAAAAAATTAGGATGATTTTTTGTCACCTTTACATAGTGACAAAAGGTCCAATACACCAAAAAGATGTGGCAAACTTAAATTTGTGTGCTCCAAAACACAAAGCTGCAAAATATGTGAAGCAATAACAGAGAGTTAAAAGAGAGAAATAAGCAAAAACACAGTCGGGATATCACCACCCACTTCTTTCCAGAATTGATAGAACAACAAGAAAGAAAATCAGCAACAGCAATAGAAGAGCTCAACAACATTAACTACAGGATCCACGTGGCATTTAAGGAGCATTTCCACTCAACTAGAGCAGAGTAAATATTCCTTTCGAGCTCAGAGAGTGTATACTAAGATAGACTATATCCTAGGCAAAAAAAAAAAGAAGAAGAAGAAAAAAGGATATTCAACTAATTAAAAAGAATTTAAACTGCACAAAGTTTATTCTCTATATGATTGACACAGTGAAATCAAACTAGGAATCAATACCAGAAATAAAACACAAAAATCTCCAAACACCTGGAAATTACACAACATGCTTCCAAGTCAAAGAGAAGTCTCAATAAGAATAAAATATACATAGAATTAAATAAAAATGAACATATAACATATTCATAATTTGTGCTAAAGCAGTGCCAAGAGAGAAATTTAGAACAACAAATGCTTATATTACAAAAGAAGAAAAATGTCAAATCAATAATCTTAGCTCTCACCTGAATTAGAAAAATAAGAGCAAATTAAATGCAAAGTAAGCAGAAGAAAGAACATAATAAAGATAACAGCACAAATCAATGAAATTGGAAACAGAAAAACAATAGAGAAAATCAGTGAAATGAAAAGCTGCTTCTTTGAAAAGATCAATAACATTGACACACTTTTAGCAAGACTGACAAAGAAAGACACAAATTTCCAGCATGCGGAATAAAACAAAGAATATCACTAAAGACCCTATGGAAATAAAAATGATAATAAGGGAATACGATAACCTTTTTTTTTTTTTTTGAGACAGAGTCTTCCTCTATTGCCCAGGCTGGAGTGCAGTGGCACAATCTCAGCTCACTGCAACCTCTGCCTCCTGGGTTCAAGAGATTCTCCTGCCTCGGCCTCCCAAGTAGCTGGGACTACAGGCATGGGCCACCATGCCCAGCCAGTTTTTGTATTTTTAGTAGAGATGGGGTTTCACCACACTGGCCAGGCTGGTCTCGAACTCCTGACCTCATGATCTGCTCGCCTGGGCCTCCCAAAGTGCTGGGATTACAGGCATGAGCCACCGCGCCCAGCCAACTAACTCTCTATACATTGATTTACTTTTTTATTTTAAAATATCCTTGCATTCCCAGTAGAAACCCTAGTTGGTAAAAAAAAATTATTGTTTGTAAACCCTTCTTCTTTGATGTTACGCATCTACAGCTAAAGATTTCCCCTTAAGCAAGGCAGGAGCTGCATTTCACACTTTATAAAATGTTGTATTTTACTATCTTGCCGTTCAAAATACATATTAATTATTCCTATAATTTTATCTTTAACACATGGCTTTTACATAATTTTAAATAGTACTTTTTAAATTTTAAATTAAATTTTAAATACTTTTAAATAATAAAAGTATGCTAGTTAATTTCAAAATATTATGTTTCTTAACATCTTATTTTTATTGGTTTCCAACTTAATACTGATGTTTTTCTAGATATCACATTTTTAATTGATTGCTATTTTGCAATTATTTCTGCAATATTTTAGTGTTTTGACATTTATAGGGACTTCTTTAAAGAATCAACACTGTCCATCTCAGTGAGCATTCCATGTGCATGTGAAAAAAAAACGGGTATTCTGTAATTATTGGAGGTAGTGTTCTATACATGTTAATTGGATTGAGGTGGTTATTCAGATTTGCTACATTCTTTTTTTTTTTTTTCGAGACAGAGTCTTGCTCTGTCACCAACCAGGCTGGAGTGCAGTGGCACGATCTTGGGTCACTGCAACCTCCACCTCCCGGGTTCAAGTGATTCCCTTGCATTAGCCTCCCGAGTAGCTGGGACTACAGGTGCGCGCCACCATGCCCGGCTAATTTTTTGTATTTTAGTAGAGACGGGATTTCACCATGTTGGCCAGGCTGGTCTTGAACTCCTGACCTCGTGATCTGCCTGCCTCGGCCTCCCAAAGTGCTGGGATTACAGGCATGAGCCACCACGCCTGGCCATTTGCTACATTCTTACTAAATGTTTGGTCTAGTTATGCTATCAATAACCAACAGTGAATGATAAAATTTCCAACTGATTGAAGATTTTTCTGTTTTCAAGTTACTTTTGTCCATCTTTACTTCATGTATTTTTAAGTTATATTATTAGATACATCATGTCTTTCTAATGAATTGACCCTTTCATCATTATGAAATGGCCTTCATTATCTCTAGTAAATACTGCTTGCCTTGGAGTCAAATACATCAGATATTAATATAATCACTCCACAATTAACAAAGCCATCAAAAGTAGCTTGTATATCCAACTTATTCTCTGTATCGATTTCTTTCACTTTTGGCCTGAAAAATCTTTACTCACTGAAAAGCAAAGAATATAAAGAAAAAAAAAAGGTAAAGAATCCAAGGACTGTGGGAAAACTGCAAAAGGTGTAACCTACATGTAATGGGAATACCAGAAGGAGAAGAAAGAGAAAGGAACAGAAAAAAATATTTAAAACAACAATTGAAAATCTTCAGTGGGAGTATAATTAGTTCAACCATTGTGGAAGACAGTGTGGTGATTCCTCAAGGATCTAGAACCAGAAATACCTTTGACCCAGCAATCTTATTACTGGGTATATACCCAAAGAATTATAAATTGTTCTACTATAAAGACACATGCACACATATGTTTACTGCAGCACTATTTACAATAGCAAAGACTTGGAACCAACCCAAATGCCCACCAATGATAGATTGGATAAAGAAAATGTGGCACATATACACCATGGAATACTATGCATTCATAAAAAAGAATGAGTTCATGTCCTTTGCAGAGACATGGATGAAGCTGGAAACCATCATTCTCAGCAAACTAACACAGGAACAGAAAACCAAACACCGCATGTTCTCACTCATAAGTGGGAGTTGAACAATGAGAACACATGGACACAGGGAAGGGAATGTAACACACTGGGGCCTGCCAGGGGTGGGGGGGCAATGAGAAAGCATTAGGACAAATAATGCACGTGGGGCTTAAAACCTAGATGGCAGGTTTATAGGTGCAGCAAACCACCATGGCACATGCATACCTATGTAACAAACCTGCACGTTCTGCACATGTATCCCAGAACTTAAAGTAAAATAAAAAGAAAGAAAAAAAAACTTGAGTAAAATGAAAAAGAAAAAGAAAATTTTCCCCAAATTAATATCAAACATCAAACCACAGATCCAAGAAGCTCAGAGAATACTAAGTAGGATAAATGCAAAAAAAAAAAAAAAAAAAACCTAATCATGTCATATTCAAGCTCCATGAAACAAAATATAAAGAAAGAATCCTGAAAGAAGACAAAGGAAAAAATCTTATCATAATAATAGTGCTCATTTCTCCAACAAGACATAACAATCCTTAATGTGTATGTGTCTAAAAACAGAGTCAAACAATGTTTTGATTTGCATTTCCCTGTTGACTAGTGATACTGAGCATTTTTCCATGTATATGTTGACCATTTGCATGTCTTTTGAGAATGTCTATTTTTGTTCTTTGCTCATTTTTCAAGGATATCATTTGTTTTTGTTTCTGTTTTTTTTGCTTTCAGTTGAGTCCCTTGTTTATTCTAGTTTGATACAGTCCCATTTGTCTGTTCTTGGTTTTGTTGCCTGTGCTTTTAAGGTCTTAAAATATTTGCCTAGACCAAAGTCCTGGAGTGTTTCCCCTATGTCTTCTTCTAGTAGTTTTATGGTTTTGGGTCTTAGGTTTAAGTCTCTAATCTATTTTGAGTTGACTTTTGTATATGATGATAGATAGGGGTCTAGTTTCATTTTTCTGCATATAAATATCCAGTTCCCAGCACCATTTATTGAAGAGTGTGTCCTTTCCCCAGTGGATGTTCTTGGTGCCTTTGTTGAAAATCAGTTGGCTGTAAATATGTGAATTTATTTCTGGATTCTTTATTCTGTTCCATTGATCTATATGTTCATTTTTATACCAACACCATATTGTTTTGCTATAAGTACTATAGCCTTGTAATATATTATGAAGGCAGGTAGTGTGATGCCACAAACTTTGTTCTTTTGTCTCAGAATTGCTTTGGCTATTTTGGCTCTTTTTTGGTTTCATACACATTTTAGGATTGATTTTTCTATTTATGTGGAAAATGTCATTGGTATTTTGATAAGAATTGAATTGAATCTGTAGATTGTTTTAGGAAATATGGTCATTTTAACAAAATTGATTGTTCCTTTTCATGAGCATGGGAGGCATTTCCATTTGTTTGTGTCGTCTTCCATTCCTTTCATCCGTGTCTTGGGGTATTCCTTGTTGACATCTTTCTCCTCCTTGGTTAAATTTATTCTTAGGTATTTTTTGTAGCTATTGTAAATGGAATTGCCTTCTTGATTTCTTTTTTGGCTAGTTCATTATTGGCATATAAAAATGCTACTGATTTTTTAGCATTGATTTTGCATTCTGCAACTTTACTGAATTTGTTTATCAATTCTAAGAGGTTTTTGGTGGAGTCGTTAGGTTTCTTTAAATAAAATTATGTCATCTGCAAAGAGGGATAAGTTAGTTTCCTGTTTCCCATTTAGATACTGTTTATTTCTTTTTTTGTCTAATTGCTCTATCTAGCACTTCCAGTACTATGTTGAATGGGAATGATGAAAGTGGACATCTTCTTGTCTTATTCCAGTTCTTAAAGGAAAGGCGACTCTTGGGGGAGGAGCCAAGATGGCCGAATAGGAACAGCTCCGGTCTACAGCTCCCAGCGTGAGCAGAAGACGGCGATTTCTGCATTTCCATCTGAGGTACCGGGTTCATCTCACTAGGGAGTGCCAGACAGTGGGCGCAGGCCAGTGGGTGCGCGCACCGGCACCGTGCGCGAGCCGAAGCAGGGCGAGGCATTGCCTCACCTGGGAAGCGCAAGGGGTCAGGGTGTTCCCTTTCCGAGTCAAAGAAAGAGGTGACGGACACACCTGGAAAATCGGGTCACTCCCACCCGAATATTGCGCTTTTCAGACCGGCTTAAAAAACGGCGCACCACGAGACTATATCCCGCACCTGGCTCGGAGGGTCCTACGCCCACGGAATCTCGCTGATTGCTAGCACAGCAGTCTGAGATCAAACTGCAAGGCGGCAGCGAGGCTGGGGGAGGGGCGCCCGCCATTGCCCAGGCTTGCTTAGGTAAACAAAGCAGCCGGGAAGCTCGAACTGGGTGGAGCCCACCACAGCTCAAGGAGGCCTGCCTGCCTCTGTAGGCTCCACCTCTGGGGGCAGGGCACAGACAAACAAAAAGACAGCAGTAACCTCTGCAGACTTAAATGTCCCTGTCTGACAGCTTTGAAGAGAGCAGTGGTTCTCCCAGCACGCAGCTGGAGATCTGAGAATGGGCAGACTGCCTCCTCAGGTGGGTCCCTGACCCCTGACCCCCGAGCAGCCTAACTGGGAGGCACCCCCCAGCAGGGGCACACTGACACCTCACACGGCAGGGTATTCCAACAGACCTGCAGCTGAGGGTGCTGTCTGTTAGAAGGAAAACTAACAAACAGAAAGGACATCCACACCGAAAACCCATCTGTACATCACCATCATCAAAGACCAAAAGTAGATAAAACCACAAAGATGGGGAAAAAACAGAACAGAAAAACGGGAAACTCTAAAACGCAGAGCGCCTCTCCTCCTCCAAAGGAACGCAGTTCCTCACCAGCAACGGAACAAAGCTGGATGGAGAATGACTTTGACGAGCTGAGAGAAGAAGGCTTCAGATGATCAAATTACTCTGAGCTATGGGAGGACATTCAAACCAAAGGCAAAGAAGTTGAAAACTTTGAAAAAAATTTAGAAGAATGTATAACTAGAATAACCAATACAGAGAAGTGCTTAAAGGAGCTGATGGAGCTGAAAACCAAGGCTCGAGAACTACGTGAAGAATGCAGAAGCCTCAGGAGCCAATGCGATCAACTGGAAGAAAGGGTATCAGCAATGGAAGATGAAATGAATGAAATGAAGCGAGAAGGGAAGTTTAGAGAAAAAAGAATAAAAAGAAATGAGCAAAGCCTCCAAGAAATATGGGACTATGTGAAAAGACCAAATCTACGTCTGATTGGTGTACCTGAAAGTGATGCGGAGAATGGAACCAAGTTGGAAAACACTCTACAGGATATTATCCAGGAGAACTTCCCCAATCTAGCAAGGCAGGCCAACGTTCAGATTCAGGAAATACAGAGAACGCCACAAAGATACTCCTCGAGAAGAGCAACTCAAAGACACATAATTGTCAGATTCACCAAAGTTGAAATGAAGGAAAAAATGTTAAGGGCAGCCAGAGAGAAAGGTCGGGTTACCCTCAAAGGGAAGCCCATCAGACTAACAGCGGATCTCTCGGCAGAAACCCTACAAACCAGAAGAGAGTGGGGGCCAATATTCAACATTCTTAAAGAAAAGAATTTTCAACCCAGAATTTCATATCCAGCCAAACTAAGCTTCATAAGTGAAGGAGAAATAAAATACTTTACAGACAAGCAAATGCTGAGAGATTTTGTCACCACCAGGCCTGCCCTAAAAGAGCTCCTGAAGGAAGCGCTAAACATGGAAAGGAACAACTGGTACCAGCCGCTGCAAAATCATGCCAAAATGTAAAGACCATCGAGACTAGGAAGAAACTGCATCAACTAACGAGCAAAATCACCAGCTAACATCATAATGACAGGATCAAATTCACACATAACAATATTAACTTTAAATGTTAATGGACTAAATTCTCCAATTAAAAGACACAGACTGGCAAGTTGGATAAAGAGTCAAGACCCATCAGTGTGCTGTATTCAGGAAACCCATGTCACGTGCAGAGACACACATAGGCTCAAAATAAAAGGATGGAGGAAGATCTACCAAGCAAATGGAAAACAAAAAAAGGCAGGGGTTGCAATCCTAGTCTCTGATAAAACAGACTTTAAACCAACAAAGATCAAAAGAGACAAAGGCGGCCATTACATAATGGTAAAGGGATCAATTCAACAAGAGGAGCTAACTATCCTAAATATATATGCACCCAATACAGGAGCACCCAGATTCATAAAGCAAGTCCTGAGTGACCTACAAAGAGACTTAGACTCCCACACATTAATAATGGGAGACTTTAACACCCCACTGTCAACATTAGACAGATCAACAAGACAGAAAGTCAACAAGGATACCCAGGAATTGAACTCAGCTCTGCACCAAGTGGACCTAATAGACATCTACAGAACTCTCCACCCCAAATCAACAGAATATACATTTTTTTCAGCACCACACAACACCTATTCCAAAATTGACCACATAGTTGGAAGTAAAGCTCTCCTCAGCAAATGTAAAAGAACAGAAATTATAACAAACTATCTCTCAGACCACAGTGCAATCAAACTAGAACTCAGAATTAAGAATCTCACTCAAAGCCACTCAACTACATGGAAACTGAACAACCTGCTCCTGAATGACTACTGGGTACATAAGGAAATGAAGGCAGAAATAAAGATGTTCTTTGAAACCAACAAGAACAAAGACACAACATACCAGAATCTCTGGGACGCATTCAAAGCAGTGTGTAGAGGGAAATTTATAGCACTAAATGCCCACAAGACAAAGCAGGAAAGATCCAAAATTGACACCCTAACATCACAATTAAAAGAACTAGAAAAGCAAGAGCAAACACATTCAAAAGCTAGCAGAAGGCAAGAAATAACTAAAATCAGAGCAGAACTGAAGGAACTAGAGACACAAAAACCCTTCAAAAAATCAATGAATCCAGGAGCTGGTTTTTTGAAAGGACCAACAAAATTGATAGACCGCTAGCAAGACTAATAAAGAAAAAAAGAGAGAAGAATCAAATAGACACAATAAAAAATGATAAAGGGGATATCACCACTGATCCCACAGAAATACAAACTACCATCAGAGAATACTACAAACACCTCTACGCAAATAAACTAGAAAATCTAGAAGAAATGGATACATTCCTCGACACATACACTCTGCCAAGACTAAACCAGGAAGAAGTTGAATCTCTGAATAGACCAATAACAGGAGCTGAAATTGTGGCAATAATCAATAGTTTACCAACCAAAAAGAGTCCAGGACCAGATGGATTCACAGCCGAATTCTACCAGAGGTACAAGGAGGAACTGGTACCATTCCTTCTGAAACTATTCCAATCAATAGAAAAAGAGGGAATCCTCCCTAACTCATTTTATGAGGCCAGCATCATTCTGATACCAAAGCCGGGCAGAGACACAACCAAAAAAGAGAATTTTAGACCAATATCCTTGATGAACATTGATGCAAAAATCCTCAATAAAATACTGGCAAACCGAATCCAGCAGCACATCAAAAAGCTTATCCACCATGATCAAGTGGGCTTCATCCCTGGGATGCAAGGCTGGTTCAATATACACAAATCAATAAATGTAATCCCGCATATAAACAGAGCCAAAGACAAAAACCACATGATTATCTCAATAGATGCAGAAAAAGCCTTTGACAAAATTCAACAACCCTTCATGCTAAAAACTCTCAATAAATTAGGTATTGATGGGACGTATTTCAAAATAATAAGAGCTATCTATGACAAACCCACAGCCAATATCATACTGAATGGGCAAAAACTGGAAGCATTCCCTTTGAAAACTGGCACAAGACAGGGATGCCCTCTCTCACCACTCCTATTCAACATAGTGTTGGAAGTTCTGGCCAGGGCAATCAGGCAGGAGAAGGAAATAAAGGGTATTCAATTAGGAAAAGAGGAAGTCAAATTGTCCCTGTTTGCAGACGACATGATTGTTTATCTAGAAAACCCCATCGTCTCAGCCCAAAATCTCCTTAAGCTGATAAGCAACTTCAGCAAAGTCTCAGGATACAAAATCAATGTACAAAAATCACAAGCATTCTTATACACCAACAACAGACAAACAGAGAGCCAAATCATGAGTGAACTACCATTCACAATTGCTTCAAAGAGAATAAAATACCTAGGAATCCAACTTACAAGGGATGTGAAGGACCTCTTCAAGGAGAACTACAAACCACTGCTCAAGGAAATAAAAGAGGATACAAACAAATGGAAGAACATTCCATGCTCATGGGTAGGAAGAATCAATATCGTGAAAATGGCCATACTGCCCAAGGTAATTTACAGATTCAATGCCATCCCCATCAAGCTACCAATGACTTTCTTCACAGAATTGGAAAAAACTACTTTAAAGTTCATATGGAACCAAAAAAGAGCCCGCATCGCCAAGTCAATCTTAAGCCAAAAGAACAAAGCTGGAGGCATCACACTACCTGACTTCAAACTATACTACAAGGCTACAGTAACCAAAACAGCATGGTACTGGTACCAAAACAGAGATGTAGATCAATGGAACAGAACAGAGCCCTCAGAAATAACGCCCATACCTACAACTATCTGATCTTTGACAAACCTGAGAAAAACAAGCAATGGGGAAAGGATTCCCTATTTAATAAATGGTGCTGGGAAAACTGGTAGCCATATGTAGAAAGCTGAAACTGGATCCCTTCCTTACACCTTATACAAAAATCAATTCAAGATGGATTAAAGATTTAAACGTTAGACCTAAAACCATAAAAACCCTAGAAGAAAACCTAGGCATTACCATTCAGGACATAGGCGTGGGCAAGGACTTCATGTCCAAAACACCAAAAGCAATGGCAACAAAAGACAAAATTGACAAATGGGATCTAATTAAACTAAAGAGCTTCTGCACAGCAAAAGAAACTACCATCAGAGTGAACAGGCAACCTACAACATGGGAGAAAATTTTCGCAACCTACTCATCTGACAAAGGGCTAATATCCAGAATCTACAATGAACTCAAACAAATTTACAAGAAAAAAACAAACAACCCCATCAAAAAGTGGGCGAAGGACATGAACAGACACTTCTCAAAAGAAGACATTTATGCAGCCAAAAAACACATGAAAAAATGCTCATCATCACTGGCCATCAGAGAAATGCAAATCAAAACCACAATGAGATATCATCTCACACCAGTTAGAATGGCAATCATTAAAAAGTCAGGAAACAACAGGTGCTGGAGAGGATGTGGAGAAATAGGAACACTTTTACACTGTTGGTGGGACTGTAAACTAGTTCAACCATTGTGGAAGTCAGTGTGGCGATTCCTCAGGGATCTAGAACTAGAAATACCATTTGACCCAGCCATCCTATTACTGGGTATATACCCAAATGACTATAAATCATGCTGCTATAAAGACACATGCACATGTATGTTTATTGCGGCATTATTCACAATAGCAAAGACTTGGAACCAACCCAAATGTCCAACAATAATAGACTGGATTAAGAAAATGTGGCACATATACACCATGGAATACTATGCAGCCATAAAAAATGATGAGTTCATGTCCTTTGTAGGGACATGGATGAAACTGGAAATCATCATTCTCAGTAAACTATCGCAAGAACAAAAAACCAAACACCGCATATTCTCACTCATAGGTGGGAATTGAACAATGAGATCACATGGACACATGAAGGGGAATATCACACTCTGGGGACTGTGGTGGGGTGTGGGGAGGGGGGAGGGATAGCACTGGGAGATATACCTAAGGCTAGATGACGAGTTAGTGGGTGCAGCGCACCAGCATGGCACATGTATACATATGTAACTAACCTGCACAATGTGCACATGTACCCTAAAACTTAAAGTATAATAAAAAATAAATAAATAAATAAATAAATAAAAAAGGAAAGGCTTTCAGCTTTTCTTCATTCAATATGATGTTAGCTGTGTGTTTGTCACATATATGACCTTTATTTATTTTATTTATTTTATTTTTTTGAGACGGAGTTTTGCTCTTGTTGCCCAGGGTGTAGTGCAGTGGCACGACCTCAGCTCACTGCAACCTCTGCCTTCTAGTTTCAAGTGAGTCTCCTGCCTCAGCCTCTCGAGTAGCTGGGATTACAGGGGCCCACCACCACACCTGGCTAATTTTTTTTGTATTTTTAGTAGAGACAGGGTTTCATCATGTTGGTCAGGCTGGTCTCGAACTCCTGACCTCGTGATCCGCCTGCCTCAGCCTCCCAAAGCGCTGGGATTACAGGCGTGAGCCACTGCGCCTGGCCATATGACCTTTATTATGTTGAGGTATGTTCCTTCTGTGCCTAGTTTGTTGAGTTTTTAATCATGAAGTGGTGTTGAATTTTATCAAATGCCTTTTCCTGCATCTATTGAGATGGTCATATTGTTTATGTCCTTCATTTTGTTGATGTGTCATGTTTATCAACTGGCATATGTTGAATCATTTTTGCTTCTCTGGGATAAATGCCATTTGATTATGATATATTACCTTTTTGATGTGCTGTTGGATTTGACTTGCTAGTATTTTGTTCAGGATTTCTGCAGGATTTCATCAGGGATATTGGCCTGTAGCTTCTTTCGTTTTGTTGTGTTCTTGTCAGGTTTTGGTATCTGAGTAATGCTGGCCTTTAGAATGCTATAGGGAGAATTCCTTCTTCAATTTTTTGGAACAGTTTGAGGAGGATTCATGTTAGTTATTTATACATTTGGTAGAACTTGGTAAACCAGTGAATCCTTCTGATCCTGGGCTTTTCTTCAGAGATTTTTTATTACGAATTCAATCTTATCACACATTATTGGTCTGTTCAGGATTTCTGTTTCTTTTTGATTTAATGTTGGTGGCTGGTATGTGTGTGGGAATTTACCTTTTCCCCTAGATTTTCCTGTCAGTGTATACTTGTTCATAATAGTCTCTGATGATCTTTTGTATTCTGTGATATCATGTGTGATGTCTCCTTTTTTCTTTTCTGATTTTAACACACAAAAGTATAAATCACTGGTACAGCAAATGCATAAATGAGGAAAAGACCCAAATGTTACCACTACAGAAAACCACTAAACCATAATTATAAATAAGAGAGAAAAAAAAGGCTATACAAAACAACCAAAAACTAATTACCAAAACGACAAGAAAAAGTCCTCATATATAAATAGTAAGTTTGACTGTTAAGTGGATTAAATATTCCACTTAAAACATATAGGCTGTCTGAATGAATTTTTTAAAAAAGTGACCCAGTAATGTAATGCCTACAAGAAACTCACTTCAACTGTTAAGACACATAGACTGATAATAAAGGGATAGAAAAAGATATCTCATGCACACAGAAACCAAAAGCGAGCAAAGAGACGATGGCAGTACGTTCAGGTAGGAGATAAGCTTCCATGACCTCAGCTGCCACCATTCCCCACAATGCCCCAGCTACCCAAGAGACCCTGAGCCCACTCAACTAGTACATTACTTGTACAAGTAGTACGTTACTACTATAGCTGGCATTTGAGAGAGCCACTACAGTAAAGCTATTTGCAACCAAGGAAATCATAAAAAGTCTACATAACTCCTCGACACGCCCATCAGGGCTAATGATTGTGGTTGCCATTGGGAAACCTGAGGGCAAGCCTGCCCCATCGAGCTGTGCCCAACTTTGCCCCCACTTTGGGGCTGAGAATGGAGCCCATGCCACTGTGCATTCCACAGACAGACCATTTCCTGAGACAATACTGTTTCTCCCAGTAAACAAAGATCAAATATAAACTCCCTGCTATCACCGCATCCAGCTCTTAACTGCAAGTGCCACCTACTGGCCTGGAGGTCAAACTGCACAACCCGATAGAAGTGTTGACATAAGCGTACAGTGCTCGAGAAAAAGATAAGCGTCTCAGGACCTCTGCCACTCAAGATCTGCAGGAGACTGTGAGCCTCATCACATGCCTAGTACATCACTACTACAACTGGCATTTGAGAAAGTCACCGCATGAAGGCTATTTATAACCAAGGAATTCATACAGAGTATATGCCATTCTCCCCATCATTACCACAAGTGCTGGTGTTTGTGCCTGCCAATGAGCTATTTGAAGGAAAGTTTGACAGTTTAGCTCCACCCAGCTTTATCCTCCCCTTAGGGGCTGAGCAGGGAGCTCAGGCCAGTGTATATTCCATAGACTGTCCCTTGCCTGAGGCAACAGAGAGCTTCTCCCCGTAAACAAAGATCAAGCATACACCCACCTGCTTCTGCCCAGATTTTATTCATAAGCACCACATAGTAGCCTGGAGGTCTAACTACACAACCCAGTAAAAAACTGGCTTACACAAGTGCACAGCACGGGGAAACAAGTTAAGCTTCCTAAGACTTCTGCACTCTAGCCCTGCAGGAGGCAGTGAGCCTAGCCCAGCACATCACTACTACAACCAGCATTTGAGAAAGCCACCACACAAAGGCTATCTATAATCAAGAAACTCATACAGACTCTTTGCCACTGAAAGCACCCAGAACCAAGGCCAAATAACCCTACACAATGTATATTATAATCACATCCTCAAGGGGGAAAAAGTCCTGACCAAATGAAAGTAAATTTAAAAATAAGAACAGATAGTTGATCCAAATGAGAAGGAACCCAAGAAACAATTCTGGAAGTATAAAAAAAAGAGTGTTACAACACCCCAAAGGATTGCACTAACTCTTCCACAATGAACCCTAACCAAAATGAAATCTTTGAAATACCAAAGAATTCAAAATATTAATTTTAAAGAATCTCAGTAAGGTCCAAGAGAAAGTAAAAAATCAATACAAATCAGAAATATAACTCAGGATATGAATGAAAAATCTACTAAAGAGATGGATTTTTTAAAATAGTTTTTTTGTTGTTTGTTTGTTTGTTTGTTGTTGTTGTTGTTGTTGTTGTTGAGATGGAGTCTTGTTCTGTTGCCCAAGCCAGAGTGCAGTGGTGCGATCTCGGCTCACTGCAAACTCTGCCTCCAGGGTTCAAGTGATTCTCCTGCCTCAGCCTACTGAGTAGCTGGAATTACAGGTGTGTGCCACTACGCCCAGATAATTTTTTTTTTTATTTTTAGTAGAGACAAGGTTTCACCCTGTTGGCCAGGCTGGTTTTGAACTCCTGACCTCAAGTGATCTGCCCACCTTGGCCTCCCAAAATGCTGGGATTACAGGTGTGAGCCCACTGTGCCCAGCCTAAATAGTTTTTTCAAATGAACTTCTGTAATTGAAAAATTCATTTAAGAAATTACAAAATATAGTTGAAAGCTCTAACAATAGACTAAACCAAGCAGAAGAAAGAGGTTCAGAACTTGAAGACAAGTCTCTTATGAATTAACCCAGTCAGACAAAAATAAAGAAAAAAATTTTAAAAATGAACAGAGCTTTCAAGAAGTATGAGATTATGTAAAGTAACTGAACCTATGAGTCACAGGTATTCCTGAGGAAAAAGAAAAAGTGAGAAGTTTGGAAAAACTATTTGAGGAAGTAATTGGGGAAAACCTCTTTAGTCTTGCTAGAGATTTAGACATCTAAATGAAAGAGGCTCAAAGAATGCCAGGAAGATACATTGCAAGACAGACTTCATCAAGATATGTAGTCATCAGACTATCTAAAGTCAACATGAAGGAAAAAAATTCTAAAATCAGCAAGAGAAAAGCATACAGTCATCTATAAAGGAAATCCCATCAGAATAACAATGGGCTTCTCAGCAGAAACCTTACAAGCCAGAAGAGATTGGATCTAATTTTTGGACTTCTTAAAGAAAAAAAAACCTGTCAAACACGAATGTTATGCCCTGCTAAACTAAGCATCATAAATGAAGGGGAAATAAAGTCAAGTCTTTCCTGACAAGCAAATGCTAAGATAATTCATCATCACTAAACCAGTCCTATAAGAAATGCTCAAAAGAATTGTAAAAGTCAAAATTAAAGTTCAATACTCACCATCATAAATACACACAAAAGTACAAAACTCACAGGTTTTATAAAACAATTGAGACTACAGAGCAACTAGGTAAAAAATTAACATTACAACAGGAACAAAACCTCATATATCAATATTAACTTTGAATAAAAAGGGATTAAATTCCCCCACTTAAGAGATATAGATTGGCAGAACAGATTTAAAAACATGAACTAACTATATGCTGTTTACAAGAAACTCATTAATAAAGACATGAGTTCAGGTAAAGGGGTGGAAAAAGATGTTCTACGCAAACAGAAACCAAATGAGAGAAGGAGTAGCTATACTTATATCAGATAAAGCACACTTTAAATCAACAACAGTAAAATAAAACAAAGGAGGTCATCATACAATGATAAAAAGATCAATTCAGCAAGAAGATATAACCATCCTACTAAATACATATGCACCTAACACAAGACTACCCAGATTCATAAAACAAATACTACTAGACCTAAGAGGGATGAGAAATTACCTAATTGGTACAATGTACAATATTCTGATGATGGTTACACTAAAAGCCCATACTTTACTGCTACTCAATATATCCATGTAACAAATCTGCGCTTGTACTTCTAAATCTATAAAAAAATTAAAATTTAACAAAAGTAAATAAAACACATAGCTAAAACTAAAAAAGCAAAAACAAAAACTATGCTAAGTATTGGTAAAGATGTGGGGAAAAAAGTAAACTCTCAAATATTGCTAGTGGGAGTATAAATTGTTTTCCACTTTGGAAAACAATTTGGTAATTTCGTTTTTTTTTTTTTCTTTTCTCTTTTTTTTTTTTTTTTTTTTGCATGCCAGAAAAAAATATTTACAGTAACTATGGAACACAAAGGTTTATTACATCCATAATTAACATGGAACATTTACTTATCAGTTTGACAAGGACAACACTGAGACCTCTTAGGACAGAGAGAAAGGGCAATTTTCAAAGGAAAAAAGCATAGTATATGCATATTTAATAAGTAAAACATACACATACCCTGTGACTCAGCCATTGTACATCTAGCTGTTTATCCAAGAGAAATGACAGCATATGGCTACACAAAGAGTTGCACACAAATTTTCAATGGCAGTTTTATTTGTAATAGCTAACATCTGAAAACAATCATAATGTTCATTAGGGGGTAAATGGATAAATGATCATATATGCATAAAAAGTAATACAAGCAATAAAAAGGAATGAACTATTGGTACACGAAACATATATGATTCAAAATAATTGCCTTGGATGGAAAAAGACAAGCGGAAAAGTATACATGCTATATTACTTCATTTATGTAATATTCAAGAGAATGCCAAGAAAGCTACAAGAACAAATAGCAGGTCAGTCGTTGCCTGGGTATCATGGAGGTAGAGGGAGGGAAGGGAAGAGGAAAGAGTGGATGCCAAAGAGGAATGAGAAACATTTTGAGAGTGAAGGATATATACATTATGTTGATTAAGGTAATGGTTTCACCAGTGCATCTTTTGCCAAGTTCATCAAATTATACACTCTAAATAATGCAGTTTAATGTACATCAATTATATCTCAATAATTTGGAATGAAAAAAAAAAACTCCTCACAAAGAACAAAACCTCTAGGACCTGATAGCTTTCAGTCACAATATAGTCAGGCACTCAAAAAAAAACTTTAACACAATAAAATTCTCTTTGAATGCCACCTTAAACTCAATCCCATCCAGAGAAAACAACTTTTATTAGAATGACATGTGATTTGCATTTTTAGTTCATGCATTTACTTATATACACATAAATATAGCTTTTTCACATAAATTAGAATCATTGCTATGCATGTTGTTCTAAAATGTTGCTTTTTCACTCAAAAAATGTTTAGTAAGATAAAATCTGCTGCACTCTTTTTAACAGAAGCACAGAATTAAATCATATGGATGCACTTCGTTTTATGCTACTCTACAGAGTGACAAGACTTCTTTGTGCATTTATCTTTGAGCACTTATTTATTTCTTTGTAAAAGGCTTTCTAAATTTCCAGATCATCAACAAAGCATTAATTTGGTCAGTTAAAAAACAATTGCTTATATCCTTCTCTGAAAAGAATGATGTACAGAAAAGAATTATATATATATATGAATAATACATCATAAGTGTTCAGAAAGACATTGTATTTTAGGTGGAGAGACAGGCAGGTGACCAGACTGCTACATGCAGTAAGATGAACCCTGATAGAACTAACACTGGAGGCTGTGAAAAAACTGCTAGGAGCACCCAGCCTTGGTAGAGCAGCATAATTTCTTCCTGTAATTCTTTCTCTCCAAATTGCCATACACTTCAGCAGAGTTTGCAACTTCTCTTCTAAGTCTTTATCCTTCCCCCAAGGCATGCCTAGCACAGGACTCTTGAACAGTGATGCCTCAATTAGAGTTGCTAGCCAATAGATTGAAGCTATGTTGGCACAATATCCTACATCCTCCCGATCTACTGGCTGAGCCCAACCCCACCTAAGAAGGACAATAAAGATCTGTGTTCAGAGTCATACTGAATAGAGACTTCTGGACTCTATAGAACCCACTGCCTCCTGATGAAGTCCCTACTGTTCACCCTTGCAGTTTTTATGCTCCTGGCCCAATTGGTCTCAGGTAAACAGAATCTTGGGGAAGAAGAAACACTGGCCTGGAACAGGGTCCTGCACATGGAGTCCCTGTTTCTAAGTGGTCTGTGGAAATGGGGTCTGGCTTCTCACTGGGAGCAGGGCTGAGATTTGTCCTACTTCTTCAGACCACCTCTGTTCTAAGAAACTTGAAGGCTCTCAGGATAGAGCAGGATCTGTGATCGGAGCTGGGGAGGAGGGTAAGGCAAATCCCATACAGTTGCCTCCAAAGGTAGAAATGATCTTGAAATCCCAAACTTCTATCCTGTCACTTCGGGTCAGTCCAGTCAAGCCCTGCCTCATTTCACTTTTGTTTTTTTTGCTGCCGATATTCCCTCCTGAGGTAACAATTATATAATATTACTTCCCCCAGTTTTCTTGGTCTTACAGAGAGGTCTCTGATTTTTTGTTTGTTTGTTTGTTCTTGGATGTGGTTAACAGAACAGGAAAGGCTGTTTCTATATATGTATAGGACTGTAAAATGGAAAATGAAAAAAAAAATTCTGTGTGGGAACTATTGGAAGTCTATATCAGATTTCAGCTCTGTTTGTGTAAGCATTTCTTATTTTTAATTTATTCTGTAGCTTATATTTACAAAACCAAGACAAGAACACTGAAAGTTATTTAGAAATAAATTGGCCACATTTCATCACTGCTTGCATTTTTTCACTTGTAACCAACTGATATATGAGCTTATAACCTGCTTTATTTTTTTACCTACGATTCTATCAGGAAAATTTTCACAGGTCTTGAATATTCCTTGAAAATACAATTTGCAGTAGATGCTTATAATTCTGTCATATTTTTGTACCAATATTAACTTGGAAAGTCCTTAATTGTGTGTCATTTGGATTATTTTTTCTAATGTGTGAGTACTGTAAATAACATTGTACAACCTTATTAATATATCATTGTGAGATTCTCTGTTTGTATAGGTAAATTTTAGAAGTTCCATTGCTTGGTACAAGGGTATTATTTCTTCTAAGTTAACTGGCACATATTGCCAATGGTTACTATTGGAGTATTTGTATTTTTAACATTTGTATTTCATATTTCTTGCAAATATTTTCAAACATATTGGTTGCTTCTAAAATGCATTATTTATTTGAGACACATAATTTTCATTTTCATGTCAAATCTATTGGTGTTTTCTTTGCATTCTTCCACTAACTTAGTAAGTCCTTCTCCGTGTTGAGAACAGTTATTCACCTATGATTTTGTTTTTTACACCGGACTCAATCCCACCTTTTTACATAAGGCACAATGAAATAAACTAATATTCTTTAGTATAATTTCCTAATGGGTTATATAATAACTCCATAGCCCGCCTCTAGAGATAGTAGTTTATATTCCCTAATTTGCAGAAATGTTCAAATTGATAGTGGATAAGAGGAAATTATAATGCTCTCATGGTTGTCTCAAAAGATGTTTCAGGCCTATTGCATCCTTGAAATTCTATGAGTTTAAATTGCCTGATTTCTCCCTCTGTCTCTGGAACATTAGTGACATACATCGACATACATCACATACTTGTATGTTGTCCTTTTTCTACACTTTGTGTGTGTGTATATATATTCTAACATATACATATATATAATGTTAAAAACTCAATCATCAGAGGAGGATTAAACAGCTGATAAGGGATAATAGTAGTGGTAATAGCATTCAAAAACGTTTGCTCTGTTCACTTACTGTCAATTACCTCATATTTCTTTCATTTATTGTACTTATCACAATCTGTAGTTATTTTGTTTATTCATTTACTTGTTTATTTTCTTTCTCCCCCTCTCCAATGTAAGGTCCTCAAATCATGTCTTTCTGTTCATTGTTTTATTCCCTGCATCTTGCAGAATTCTTGACATGGTAGGCACTCATCATATACTTGTTGATTAAGTACAGTAATGAGTTAAGCAAGGTAAGAAAGAGCTCCAGCGTCACTCTAGGGCCTCTATGTGTTAAACCATGTGATGAGATATTTTCATATGTATATAATATGTACACATATATAGGCAAACCCTGCAGAATGTCTCCCTAATGAATATATTCCTAATGGAATGGCTTTTTTTATTCTCAAAATTTTGTAAAATGTACTTATATCTCAATATCATATAGGTATATAGGTATAGATGAAAATTTTTTATTTATCTTTCCATAACTTGACATGACATTTTTAACCAGATAATATGTAAGATAAGCCTAGAGTTATCTTCTAAATATAATTTTTAGGATCTCAGAAACATGTAAGGGACATTTTGAAAATCTCACCAATTGGCAACAAAAGCCATATGTGTTTCAGTAATGGTGAGAAAGATGACAGCAATTATTTTAGCATTTCTTATTTTTGAAATGATAGTTTTTACTTCTGTTTAGGTGTTTGTGTTTTAGCTACATTTTAGGAAATTGCTTGGGGATTTTGTGTTCATGTATAACAACATGCTATATATTTTCCCATTTAAAATCATGGGGAATTGGCCCCTGGTAAGTGTTTGTATACAGAATTCTGATTTCAGAAATGAGAATCTCATACATATCTAAAGAATTCTATGTGTGTTTATAAAATTTCACTTAATCCTCAAAGTAGGTATTTATGATTAGGAAAAACATGCTAAAGCAACTGGAAAGGCACTTGAATAAACAGTGCTCAAAAACTATTGCTATTTTTTATCCTCCTGTGATAAATACTTAGGCTTAATAATCTATATAATTCCTTTATTCAGGTAATTGGTATGTGAAAAAGTGTCTAAACGACGTTGGAATTTGCAAGAAGAAGTGCAAACCTGAAGAGATGCATGTAAAGAATGGTTGGGCAATGTGCGGCAAACAAAGGGACTGCTGTGTTCCAGCTGACAGACGTGCTAATTATCCTGTTTTCTGTGTCCAGACAAAGACTACAAGAATTTCAACAGTAACAGCAACAACAGCAACAACAACTTTGATGATGACTACTGCTTCGATGTCTTCGATGGCTCCTACCCCCGTTTCTCCCACTGGTTGAACATTCCAGCCTCTGTCTCCTGCTCTAGGATCCCCGACTCATTAAAGCAAAGAGGCTTATTCTGGTGTCAGTTTTCTCTCTACAGCCCCCTTCCCACTTTCCCTCCATTCAACAGTGTCTGGAAGGGCACCACAATTTCACTGCACTCGCATTTCTATGGTAGAAATGCAAATAAGATAGGGGCCAGGAACAAGGGAGGGTTAGTCCAAAACACCCACTCAGGAATGATAGATAGTAGCAATGTCCTCCTTGAAGACAGTTCTAGGCCCACAGCTTGCCATAGCAATTATCATCAAACTTCATGTACATCAGAAACACCTGGAGAGATGGCTAAAGCACAGATTTCTAGGGCTCACTTTTAGTTTCCAATTCTGCAGGGGAGCTTGAGAATTTGCACTGCTCACAAGTTCCCAGGTGATGCTAGGGCTGCTGGTCCAGGCACCACACTGTGAGAACAATTAGCTTATAATATGAAAGGATTGAAAGCCGACTGTGAATGTGATTTTCTACAGATTGAAGGCTGCATTTCCTATGTAGTTTTGGAGTAGATAGTAATACAAAATCATCCTACAGAATCCTCCGACAACAACCTGAGAATGTAGGTATTATAACCTCACTTTAGAGAATAGGAAACTTGATTTCTAAGCATTAGAAGACTGGGACAGACTAAATTGACTACTGAGAACATTCTGTCACTGCACCATGAGGTTGCCCAATTTTCTTCTCACCCTGGAAATCCTCATTCATAGCTTCCAACTTAAATATGATGAAAGGGAGATCAAGAGCTCTATAATGTGTCCTGAATGTTAGGACAGGCACTCATCCCAAGCAATAGAATGTTTTCCGTACATTACATTACATTGATGCTCTGCCTGCACCAATAAGAGAATATGACTGGGTGTATCATAGTCATCCATCCATGCCTCAGGCCCACTTCCCTGATAGTTGGACAGGGAGAATAGGGAATGCAGATGCCTTCGCTTTCTGGACACTTACAGTAGCTGTGTTTGTCTTTGTCATCTCAGTTTGCTCACTTATGAAATGCTAGCGTTTTACTCAGTATCTTTCTCCCCACCCCTGTCATAGTACATCTTTCTGATTCTGAAGATATAAGATTGGCTTATGTTTTGTGGGGTCAACTTCACCTTTGACCCCATAAGATCCTAGAGATTTAATGTAGATATATAAAAGTTGGAGAAAACATTGGTGGAAGGGTTTTCTCCACTATAGACACAAATCCATGAGTGTCATCACAGACTCCTTTTCCTTCTTCACTTGATTCCAGTGAAGATCCATGTTCATTCTACCACCTCCAATATGTACCATGACCTCTATCTCCAGCTGCTGCTAGGATGATTGCAATAGCCTTCCCATTGATTGCCCTGCATTCCTTTCACACTCACGCCTAACTATCCTCCACAATGAGAGCCAGAATCATTTTTCTGAAACACAGATCTAATCATTAGACTCCCCTCTGGCATCTTTTCCCATAGCATCCTAAGACAACTCTTCAGAGCAGCCTTCATCACTCTTGGCATTCAGAACCTGCCTTGCGTTTCCAGTTTTACCTCCAAAGCACTGTCACAGGGCATCTTGCTATCCCACCAACATACCTCTTCGTGATTGGTTTGAACTCACTGGATTGCTTCTGGTTTTGAGTTTTTGTACATACTTTTCTGTCTCCATTTATAACTGCCTGGAAAAAAATCTTTATTTTCTTCTGGAGGACTTTGATAACCACACTGTTCTACCCACAATAGAACTACTGCCACCATTTGTGCTCCACTGTTATGACTTACCCAGAATTTTAAGTCATCATGTCACATGCCTCACTCTGAATATCTGCTTATGTCTTCTCCCCTACTGGACTTTGAAATTTTATTTAGGAACAGGAACCATCTTATCTTCTCTTTCTCCTACCATCCCCTAACAAGATTCTATATTAATTCTTGTTGAATAAGTAAGAGGGATTCTCGAAGGCCAGAAAGATCTTTGGATGTTACTGAAATCTCATTTTTATTTATTTTAGATCTTCTCCAGGAAACAGGCTTCTGTCTCCTTTAGAAGACATATCTATGATCTATGTCATTACATAGTAGAGGAGTTTTGAGAGGTGGCTTGTCCCATGTGGTAGGACATCATTGCCTCTTACACCCATGCTTATCTTTGCAGGCAGAACTCATGAACTCACACAAGAAGGTGGGCAGATGGAAGCAAGTTACTTCAGCAGAGGAGAATAGTAGGAAAAAAACATAACTTTAGAGCTGGATGTATCTGAGGTCATTCATGATCCCACCATATATCCACTCTTGGACCACAGACAAATGATTTCCCATCTTCGAGCCTGTTACTGAATTTGAAGAACAGAGAAAATACTCACTCCCACTCAAGGTACTTTGAGGGTTGCCAGAGTAATCTATTAAAATGTTAATCATATCATAGGGATTCAGCTGTAACAGGTTGTTCCCTGGATAAGAAACAGTACAGCACATTTCCCCAGGGCCCTGCCCACTGGGCCTTGGCTGTCTTGCCTGAGTATGGGTGATTATAGCCTATGTTTCACCTGGGGGAAGACGCATTAGGCTGAGAAGAGTGTAACAGAGTTGAGGGTCATGGGATCTCTTTGAACAGCCAGATGAGATTTTAAAGGTTCTAGTAGAACTTGCTGTGCTTACTTTTCAATAATCACCTTGATCACTACCTTGGAAACATCTTAGAGCTATTATCACATTGATTCTAGACGATGAATATAATCTCAGTGCTGCAGCCTGAAACATTGTCCTCCTGTCCTCTTGCCTTATATCTCATCCGTCCTTCACGCAGTGCTGGAACTTAGGTGGCAAATATTCTTTTCCCACTTTGGAGTTGACTAATGGCATTAGGAGGCCAAGGGAAAAGGAATCTTTATGGTGAGAGAAACTGCAATGTGCCAAGCACATTAATACACAATTTCTTAAACAAAAGCATTGTATGATAATTATGACAACATGATTAAAGCTGAGGAACCTGGAGTAAAATGTATCTAGGGTTACATCTAGGTTTGTTCCTTACTACTTTTACTCATCATGTGGTCTCTATATCAATTTCTTCATTTGCAAGACAGGTATAATCATGCATCTACCTCTTAGAATCACTCTAAAAATTAAAATAGATAAGGCATATAGGTCACCGTGATCTCTAGCACCAATGAAATTCTAAGAAATGTAGATTTTAAAAGGCATATGAGATATAGGTTATTCTGGTTTAAAATATGAAACGTTTAAAAAATAAAATATGTAAGTCCTGAGTTTCCGGGAGAAAAAGGGTCTTGCACAAGAACAACCATATTTGGGAGGCAATTTTACCTGTTCTCAAGGCCGCATCTCTACCCCATCTCATGCGAATCCTGACCCATATTTGGGAGGCAATTTTACCTGTTCTCAAGGCCGCATCTCTACCCCATCTCATGCGAATCCTGACCCATATTTGGGAGGCAATTTTACCTGTTCTCAAGGCCGCATCTCTACCCCATCTCATGCGAATCCTGACGACGTCCTCAAAGCTGAATAAATTTTTGCCTTAAATAAATTAAACGAGATTTAGATTTCACCAGTCACTGATACTCAATCCCAATTGGATATTCATTCAAAAGTCTGACTTCTCTCCTGAGGTGAGAGTAAGATTCCTGGGCACTTTTTCATAATACTTACCTTAACCTAGCTAAACACAATGGACACTCTTCTTTGAGGTGTCAGTGGAAATTAAGAGGAGAGTCTGAACTCTTACCTCCCACATGGGGCTTGCAGACAGGTGAAGATGGCGCTCCTCCCCTTTGTTGGTAATGGAGACCTAGAAGAAAGGCTGGGCATCCAGCTCCCACGCAGTCATATGAAGCAGCCCAGAGCAACATTCCCCTTCACTGCCTGTGCGGTGGCAGTAGAGACCTAGCAGTAGAGACCTAGCTGGGAGTCAGATCTCCCATCCCTCAACCAGTGGTAGTGATTGGCCTGGGGAGGAATCCCTTCCCTGCTGGTGCCATGTCAGTGAAAACTGAGGGGAGACTGAAATTGCCCTTCCTTCCAATAGTATAAAAGGCCTGAAGCAGACTTCCCTTCCCAGCCAGTACATTACCATTGAAGACCAAGGGGTGGTCTCAACTTCAATCCCTAGGGAGCCGTGGCTGGCATCAACCCTCCTTCCAGTCAGTGAGGATAGAGGATAGGAGGGTGCTGGAAAATAGGTGTCTTTAAAACTGAATAATGTTGTTTTTACCACAATTTTAAAAACTGAATAAGAAGACATGGCAGACCCCTGAAACTGGATAACTACACACGGAACTAACCAGAATTAACATGCAGAAGGTTTGAGAATAGAACTGCAGTGGGGAATACCACCTAGATTTTTAAAATAACAACTTGTATATATTTAAGGATATATGCAATATGATGTTTTGATATACATAGACATAGTAAAATGATTGCTATAATCAAATTAACATATCCTTCTCTTCACATAGTTATCATTTTTTGAGGAGACAGCACCTGAAATCCATCTTCTTAGCAAATTTCTAGTATACAACACCATATTATTAACTAGAGTCCCCATACTGCCCTTTAGCTCTCTAGACTTTATCCTACACAACTTCAACTTTGTACCCTTCGACGAGCATCCCCCCATTTCCTCCACCACCCGCCCCACCCCTGATAATCACTGGTCTACACTCTTCTATGTATTTGAATTTTTAAATTCCATGTATAAGTGAGATCATGCTGTACTTTTTTTCTGTGTCTGTCTTATTTCACTTAGCATAATGTCCTCTGGGTTCATCCATGTTGTTCTGAATGGCAAGCTCTCCTTTGTCAAGGCTGAATAATATGCCATTGTATATATATACAATTTATTTAGTGTGTTCATCTATCGATGTCGATAGATGATAATGTCTTCATCTATCAGCTTAGGTTGATTTCATATCTTGGCTATTGTGAATAATGCTGAGCACAGATATCTCTACATGGTGCCGATTTCATTTCTTTTTGGTATATACCAAGACGAGGGATTGATGGCTCATATACTAGTTCTGTTTTTATTTTTTTGAGAAGCCTCCATACTGTTTTACATCATTGTTGTACTAATTTACATTTCCACCAACAGTGCGCAAAAGTTCCCTTTACATTCTCACCAATACTTGTGATCTCTTGTCTTTGTGATAATAGTCATCCTAACAAGTGTGAAGTGATTTCTCATTGTGCTTTTGATTTGCATTTCCCTGATGATTAGTGATGTTGAGCACCTTTCCATACACTTGTTAGCCACTTTTATTTCTTCTCCAGAAATATTTCTGTTCATGTCTTTGCCCAATTTTCAAGTGGGCTCTTTGTTTTTTGCTACTGAGTTGTGTATGTTTCTTATATGTTTTTTATATTAACCTTATGTGATATATGGTGGGCAAGTATTTTCCTCCCATCCCATAAACTGCCTTCTCACTCTGTTGACTGTTTCCTTTGCTGTGCAACAAATGATCTTCAATGATAATACAAAGAATATGCAATACAGAAATGATAGTCACTTCAACAGATGGTGTTGGGAAAACTGGATTTCCACAGGCAGAACAAATGAAATGGATCCTTATCTTACACCACACACACACACACAAACTCAAAATGGATTTAAAGACTTAAATGTGAGCCTGGCAAACTTAAAACTCCTAAAATAAAACAGAAGGGAATATCTTTATGACTTTGGTCTAGGCAACAGTTGCTTGAATATGACATCAAAACCACAAGCAACAAAAGCAAAAATATATTAGTGGGACTATGGATACATTTGAAACAAACTACAAACTAGTAAAATCTCAGCAAAGAAATAGAAGATATAGGCCAGGCACGGTGGCTCACGCCTGTAATCCCAGCATTTTGGGAGGCCGAAGAGGGCGGATCACGAGGTCAGGAGATCGAGACCATCCTGGCTAACATGATAAAACCCCGTCTCTACTAAAAAAAAAAATACAAAAAATTAGTGGGGCATGGTGACAGGCACCTGTAGTCCCAGCTGCTTGGGAGGTTGAGGCAGGAGGATGGCGTGAACCTGGCAGGCGGAGGTTACAGTGAGCCAAGATCATGCCACTGCACTCCAGCCTGGGTGACAGAGCGAGACTCCATCTCAAAAAAAGAAAAACAGAAAAAAGAAAAAGAAATAGAAGATATGAAAATAATCAAATGGAAATTATAAATTTATGAAATGTAATCAAAGTAAAAAAGAAAAAGTCACTGTATAGGCTCAATAGTAGATGGAACATGACAGAGGAAAAAATAAGACAGATCTATAGAATTACCCAATCTAAAAACAGAGAAAAATAGACTGATAAAAATGAACAGAGCCACAGATACCTGTGGGACATAAAAAGATCTAATGTTCATGTCATC
This sequence comes from Homo sapiens, assembly GCF_000001405.40. Taxonomy (NCBI): domain Eukaryota; kingdom Metazoa; phylum Chordata; class Mammalia; order Primates; family Hominidae; genus Homo; species Homo sapiens. The sequence goes on from NC_000020.11 coordinate 152,094, forward strand.
AGAGTCCTCAAGGAGAGGGAGAGTGTGGAACTGAAAAAAATATTTGAAGGAATAATGCCTGAAAAATATCCCAAGTGTGGCAGAATACATACATCTGTAATTCAAGATCTTGAATTAACCCAAAACAAGATAAACCCAAAGAAATCCATGCCAAGATAAAGTATAATCAAACTAAAACTAATAGCTAGAGACAGAAAAAAATCAAGCGAGCATTCAGAAACAATACACCACCCATGGTAAAACAATGGTTTGATTGATGGGATTTGTCATCTGAAACCATGGAAGCAAAAAAGAAATGTCATCACATGTTTCAAATGCCAAAATAAAGAACTATCAAATCCAAATCCTATATCTAGCAAAAAAAAAAAAAAAAAAGTTCTCTAGGAATAAACAGGGAAAGAAAAACATTCTCAAACAAGAAACTATTAAGGGAATTTGTCACTAGCAGCCCTATCCTAAAAATATAGTCAAAGAAAGTTCTCTAAACCAAAATGATAACCGGGGGCTTGGAACTTCAGAAAGGAAGAAGTCGAAGTCAATAGAATGGGTAAAATGGGAGGTGAATATAATAGACTATGCTTTTTTTTTTGCTTTATTTTTTTTTTATGCTTTCTTTTCTTGAGATAGTGTCTGGCTCTGTCGCCCGGACAGGAGTGCAGTGGTACAATCTCAGCTCACTGCAGCCTCGACCTCCTGGGATCAAAGGATCTTCCCTCCTGAGCCCAGTGAGTAGCTGGGACCACAGGAGCCGGCTAATTTTTATATTTTTTTGTAGAGACAGGGTTTCACTGTGTTGCCCAGGCTGGTCTCGAACTCTTAGACTCAAGCAATCTGCTGCCTCGGCCTCCCAAAGTGAGACTATCTTTTTATTAAAGAGTTTTGAAATCATGTTTGGTAGATTGAAGCAAAAATTGTAACATTGTCTGATGTGGTTCTAAATAGATGTAGAGGAAGTACTTAAACATTATAAGCTGGGTAAGGCAAAGAAATTTAAAGTGAGGTAAGTTTTTATACTTCATTCAAACTTGTAAAACTTTGACACCGTAGACTGTGATAAGTTAGGTACAGCAACCACTAAAAAAAATAAATAAATACAATAAGAAATTATAGCTAAATTATAGTGGAATTCTAAGGAACAAATAGAAAACAAAATATAAAATGGTAACTTAATCCCTAACATGTATCAAAAAGATACCCCATACAAATATTAATCATAAGAAAGTAGGAATGGCTATATTAACATCAGTTAAAGCAGACTTCAGAGCAAAACAAATTATCAAGGACAGAGAGGGAAATTATATAATGCCAAAAGGGTCAATCAACCAAGAAGACATGGCAGCCCTGATCGTCCACAAACTGAAAACCAGAGTTTCAAAATACCTGAAGCAAAAACTGATAAAACTAAGAGGAGAAATAAATTTACAATATCAGGCCAGGCGTGGTGACTCATCCCTGTAATTCCAGCACTTTGGGAGGCTGAGGCAGGCAAATCACTTGAGCTTGGGAGTTTGAGATCACCTGAGGCAACATAGTGAGACCCCCCTCTCTATAAAAGATACAAAAACTAAGGTGTGGTGGCCCACGCCTGTTGTCCCAGCTACTCAGGAGGCTGACATGGAAGGCTTGAGCCCAGGACATCGAGGCTGCCGTGAGCTGTGCACTCCAGCCTGGGTGACAGAGCGAGACCCCGTCTCAAAAAAAAAAAAAAAAAAAAAATTACAATATCAACTTCAACAGTTGATAGATAGGACAACTAGACATAAAATCCACAAGGGTGTAGAAGAATTTAAAAATACCACAAAGCAACAGGATCTAATAGACATTTATAAAACATTTCATCCAACAACAATGGAATACACTCCTTGGTGTTTATGCCAAGGAAATGAAAGTGTTTTTCTCCACAACTCCCGGGCAGGAATATCAATGGTAGTGTTATTTATAATAGCCCAAAAGAGTAAACAACCAAAACGTCATTCAACAGGTGAATGACTAACATAGGGTGGTACATCCATACAATGGAATACTTCTCAGCAGTAAAAAAAAAAAAAAAAATGAATTATTGATACATGCAACAGCTTATATAGATTATAAGAGCATTATGCTGAGTGATGAAAAAAGACAAAGGGTCACATAGTGTGTGACTATATTCACATAACATTGTCTAAAAATTATGAAATGTAGAACAAATTAGTGCTTTCCAGGGGTTATGAATAGTCAGGAGAGGGAGGGAAATATGCCAGTAAGACAATAAGAGAGGGAGATCTTTTCATAATGAATAATTCTGTATTTTGATTTGTTGATGGTTAAATGAATCTAAGAAGGATCTGATAATCTAGTATTAGACGCATAGTACAGTAGTGAACTTTCAGCCTCTAGAGAAGTGCTCTCCAATAGAAGTAACTAAAAAGATGGAAATGTTCTAAATCTGTACTATACAATATGTTAGCCACTGGTCATGTGGTTGTAAAGCACTTGATATGTGCTCTATAATATTTTGAGCAAGTTTCTTATGTTTTCTGTGCCTTTGAGTTTCTCATTTGTAGAATGGAGATAATAATATCTACCTCAAAGTGTTGCTGTAAAGGTAAATGAGTTTATGTATGTAAGACACCGACAGGAGTGCCAGCACATAGAAAGTGTTATACAAGGGTTAGCCATTTGTTATTGTCATTGTTGTGTTTTGTTCTCTTTCTAATGTCTGGACCTTCAAATGATTCAGACTCATGGGACCATACTTCATTCTGTTTTTATAACTTTAACCTGTAAGATTCTCATTTTAATTGGAATTTCATATTTAGGAATTCTTGGGTGCCTTGGATATATGAAGAAAAGATTCACATCTGCTTCCACTAAACAACTAGCGAATTAACAACTGAGATTTCTTATAATTAAATTATTTACTTGATTTTTTTAATCCATATAAATAGCTTGAACTTAGGTTGAAACCCATGAGAATTTGTGGCTACAGTTCATAGGGTTAATATTTACCTTCTCCATCCAGAGCCAAGGTTAATGCTGACAAAATACAATCTAATACAGATTAATCTGTGTGTGTGTGTATGTATACACTCGTGTCAGAGAGAGAGATTTCATTCTTCCTTAGGCTGAGATTGTTGCCTTTGAATCTCAGGTTTATATAAGGGTATCAATTATATGTCTTCCCTAGGACTAGATCTTAGCTTTATACATCTCACATAGCCATCAAAATAATGTTCAACTTATCTTTCAGGGTTTGCAATCTTAGTTTTTGGCCTGTGCAGATTCCTTTCATTTTTGACGGTTTCTCAATGCAGTAATTTCCTTTTTACATTTACCCAACTTTTTTGGTTATTTTCACCAGATACATTGTTCAATATATCTATTCTACTATATTCTATTAATAACAGTCTACTATATATGTGTCTTATTGTCTAATATTGCTGAAATCTTTTTTTAATCCAATAATGAATCTCTGTCATCTAATCAGTGAGTTTAAGCCATGTGAATGTATTATAACTACTGATCTATTAGGACTTTTTTCTGCCCTCCAGTTGTGACTTATCTATTCCTCATTTTTTTTAGTTTCTGTTGGATGGATCATATGTTCTTCTGCTAATATGAATATTATAATTTTATTTTTATTTGTTTTATTAAAAATTTGTCCTTGCTCTTAGGACCCATTCCTATCCTTATATTTATTATTACTAATTTAACATCCAGCTTCAGAAATACAACTTTAATAGGAAGGCTTTTTGTATTTCTCCTGACTGCTCAGACTTAGGGTCTTTATTTGATGCTCCACCACCAAGTCACCTATAAGGAAAGTTTGCATTCACAGGAAGACTATAAATAATAAAACCAATCCCTTGACTAGGACTTAAACCATGTAAAAGCTGGTGGCAAAAGTAAAGGGAGGTGACCCTTGAGACCTCTGAGGTAACTGCTCTTAAATTTACATTTGCCTCTAAAAAGGATTTCTTATATGTCAACATCTCTCTGTTTAAACATATTCTTGTGTAAAACCACTACGTGACCTGAATAATGGCCATAGGGCTCATCTCTAAGCCAACTGGCTTATTTATTTAATGCATCTCAGTGGTTAACAGGGTTGAAATTTTTTGAAAACTGCAATCAATGATCAAAGAATGATCTAGGTAAACATCGATTCCTTGTGGCAACATTTTAATATTTTCAAAGACAAGGTACAACTGGTAGAAAAAAAATACCCTCATGCATCTTTTTCTTCTAATTGTGGTAAAATATATGACATAACATTGGCCATTTTAGCCATTTTTCCTTTTATTTTTAGTTGACACATAATTGTACTTATTTATAGGATACAAAGTGATATTTCAATACATGCATATAATGTGTAATGATCAAACCAGGGTAATTAGCATATCCGTCACCTCAAACATTTATCATTTGTATTGGGAACATTCAAAATCCTCTCTTCTAGCCTTTTAAAAGTATACAATAAATTGTAGTTAACCATATTCACCTTACAGTGCTACAACACCAGAAGTCATTCCTCCTATCTATAATTTTGCATCCATTAGCCAATCTCTCTCCATCCTCCCCTCTCCCTAATCATTACCAGCCTCTAATATTAATATCTGCAACACTACTCTCTACTTCCATGTGCTCAACTTTTTTAGCTCCCATATATAAATAGGAACATGTGGTAATCTTTCTGTGCCTGACATTTCACATAACATAATGTCCTCCAGGCTATCCATGTTGTTGCAAAGGACAGAATTTCATTATTTTTATGGGTGAATAGTATTCCATTGTGTGTGTGTGTGTATATATATATATATATATTCCATTGTGTGTTATGTATGTATAGTATTCCATTGTGTGCATATATATGTATATATGTGTGTACATATATATATACATAATATATATTCTTCTGCACATGGAAATCCAGTTTCTCCAGCATGATTTATTGAAGAGGGTATCCTTTCCCCAGTGTATGTTCTTGGTGCTTTTATAAAAAATCAGGTGACCTCAGATCAGACCCAACTACATCATACCTTCTTTCGAAATGTGCAAGAAACCTACTAGAAATTCTTATTGTTAGAGTTTCAGATTTATGTCCTGGTTTATACTGCCACATTCATTCTTGGAGGTGAGTACATTTCGATCTTGGTCCGGCTGCGCAGAGAGTCAAAGCAGGAAAATCACAGATTCTTCCCAGCAGTCTACAGCCTACACAGCGGCATTTGGTGCGATGGGATGGAACATGCTGTATCTCTATTCCATGTGGGGGTAAAGTGGGTGGCCTGAAATTTCCTGTGTCTGCCTGCATGATGCAAAGCTCACAGTTCAGAAGCTTAAGGACACACTTCATATCATCCCATCTGTTCTGGTTCAGTGCATAAGAATCTAAGTCTCTGAGGAAGGTAGCATAGTGTGCAGTTCACTGGACCAAAAGCTTTGGCTGCACCTCTTCTGGAAAGCCTGGCCATGGGGCTCTTCATGATCATTGCAATTCTGCTGTTCCAGAAACCCACAGGTAAACCAAACCAGAAGCTCACTCAAATCAACAGTGGGATGGAGCATTTTCAGGAGCCAAAGGGAACTTCATAATCCACACTAAAGGGAAATAGAGCCCCCAAAGATGGCTAAAGTTTATCCAACATCATCAGAAATTTCCTCTTTCTGGAGCCTTATTCCATGTTACTATCCTTAAAGAGGAGTACTCACTGAGCTAAAAAGAGGTCATAATTTCTTCTGGGAAAGATGTGTTGTTATAGAAAGGAATGATGCCAATATCTAGGGATACCTTTATGTCTTTGGATATGGTTTTTACTCTGATGCTCAGCTATATTTCCTTTTACTCAAATATATATATGTGTGTGTGTGTGTGTGTGTGTGTGTGTGTGCATGAATAGAGGAAGAAGCAAATTTTGGAGTTAGGTTTAAGAAACATGCCTTCAATATCTACTAGTTTGTCAACTTTAAGTAGTGAAGACTCTAGGAGCCTCAGTTTCCTCATCTATGGAGATAATGACACCTGGTTAACAGGGGTTTTATTAAATGATATAACCTATGTGAAGCTTGGCACATACTGAGAACTCAAAAATTAGAGTTTCCTTTCCTCTTTCAAAACCAGATTTCTTACATGTGTCCCTTATTATAAGAATAGTAATGGCCTATTCCTGACCCTCTACATTCCTAAGACCCAATAGACTACTACCTTACTGGATAACATGAAAGTCATTCTTGACCCTGATAGTGGGTTTGAACTCAGGAGAACAGTTTGATTCAGACATAAACACATAGTAACAATACATTGTTCTCTGGGCATCAGAGGAGGTGCAGTAGAAGGTAGTGCTCTGGGAGCATTCAGGATGCAGGCAGATTTGCTGAGGTTCCTATGTAGAGCATAGTTCCATAGCCTAGAATCAAGGGTTCAGCTCCTTTATTTTCTCAGATAAGATCTTATGTTCTTGGCAGAGTCTATCAGATGTTAAGGGAGGCCTAAAACCTCACAGGACCTAAATATAAGTGATCCAGTTAAATACAAACACTGAGGTTGACCTTGTCGGAAAATCCTCTTCAGAATATATGAGGGTCTGCCTTGTGGATACCCCATACCCCTAATTCCTACAAGCCTCCTCTGTCTTCCCCAAAACCAACGTGCCTTCAGTCTCAAACACTGATATTGTTCTATTGCTCCTTTCTGTGTATAGTAACCGAACAACTTAAGAAGTGCTGGAATAACTATGTACAAGGACATTGCAGGAAAATCTGCAGAGTAAATGAAGTGCCTGAGGCACTATGTGAAAATGGGAGATACTGTTGCCTCAATATCAAGGAACTGGAAGCATGTAAAAAAATTACAAAGCCACCTCGTCCAAAGCCAGCAACACTTGCACTGACTCTTCAAGACTATGTTACAATAATAGAAAATTTCCCAAGCCTGAAGACACAGTCTACATAAATCAAATACAATTTCGTTTTCACTTGCTTCTCAACCTAGTCTAATAAACTAAGGTGATGAGATATACATCTTCTTCCTTTTGGTTTCTTGATCCTTAAAATGACCTTCGAGCATATTCTAATAAAGTGCATTGCCAGTTTTCTGTCTCATTTTGTTCTTTAACCAGGGGTTGAACACTCATTATATACTAGGTAATGAATTGATAAGAACTCAGAACCTCTCCTTGAAAAGGGGATATGACAAGTACACTAAAAAAAAAAAGTCCTATAGTGTGGAAGTCTGGAATAAGAAACTCAGAAACACTGACATGTAATTTAGGAGAGGGAAAGGTGAAGCAAATATTCAGGGGAAATTCATGAGTAAGTTTAGGAATAAAGCAGTGTCTTGTAGTAAATAAGTAAATAGTAAAGCAGTAAATAAGTAGGATTTCCATGGATGAGGTTTGGTAGGGAAGGCAATTTGAGTGAACAGAATGGGAGGAAATTGGAAAAGACAGAACATTTCAAGACACTATACATGCACTTTGTTTGGATGAAGAACAGAGCACTCAAAGTTGAACTATGGGGGAAGTCTGATTTCCTAAGCTCCTGTGTACCAGCAGTGAACTGGGAAGACGGAGATAAATAAGATTCCACTGTTGTGGAGCTCAACAGTGGAGCTCAACGCTTCCTCTATGAAGTGGAGAAGACCTAAGTAAATAACTCCAACACAAAAGTTTTTAGGTTTTTGCTTTGTTGTTGTTGTTGTTGTTGATGTGTTCATCTTTTTTGTTATTGGGGCCCTGTGGAGTTTAGGGGAAATGTAAAAGATCTAGGAATTGGTCCAAATTGTAGTGCTTTCATTGTCTTGATATGCAAGAAGAATAATCCATGTACATACTCTGCTGAATTCTTAAAGATGTACCTTCTGAATATGATTAACATGGAAAGTTTCTTCTTCAACTACATTTCAAAGTCATTTGCTAGTTTTGTTTCTTATATCATTTCACCATAACAATTACAAGCATTTTAAAGATTTAGTTCATCCACTATAACATTTACCACTAATGTGTGGCATGTGTTCTCTTAATCTCTCTCTTTCTGGTGTTCTAGGGCTGGTATAGGGAGCACCTAAAACAAGCCTAAAATATCTTGTGGTGCCAGAAAGTAAGCAATTGCTTAATAATCAAAGGATAGGGTCTGCAAACACGGACAATTTGACTTCCTCTTTTCCTAATTGAATACCCTTTATTTCCTTCTCCTGCCTGATTGCCCTGGCGAGAACTTCCAACACTATGTTGAATAGGAGTGGTGAGAGAGGGCATCCCTGTCTTGTGCCAGTTTTCAAAGGGAATGCTTCCAGTTTTTGCCCATTCAGTATGATACTGGCTGTGGGTTTGTCATAGATAGCTCTTATTATTTTGAAATACGTCCCATCAATACCTAATTTATTGAGAGTTTTTAGCATGAAGGGTTGTTGAATTTTGTCAAAGGCTTTTTCTGCATCTATTGAGATAATCATGTGGTTTTTGTCTTTGGCTCTGTTTATATGCTGCATTACATTTATTGATTTGCGTATATTGAACCAGCCTTGCATCCCAGGGATGAAGCCCACTTGATCATGGTGGATAAGCTTTTTGATGTGCTGCTGGATTCGGTTTGCCAGTATTTTATTGAGGATTTTTGCATCAATGTTCATCAAGGATATTGGTCTAAAATTCTCTTTTTCGGTTGTGTCTCTGCCCGGCTTTGGTATCAGAATGATGCTGGCCTCATAAAATGAGTTAGGGAGGATTCCCTCTTTTTCTATTGATTGGAATAGTTTCAGAAGGAATGGTACCAGTTCCTCCTTGTACCTCTGGTAGAATTCGGCTGTGAATCCATCTAGTCCTGGACTCTTTTTGGTTGGTAAGCTATTGATTATTGCCACAATTTCAGATCCTGTTATTGGTCTATTCAGAGATGCAACTTCTTCCTAGTTTAGTCTTGGGAGAGTGTATGTGTCGAGGAATTTATCCATTTCTTCTAGATTTTCTAGTTTATTTGTGTAGAGGTGTTTGTAGTATTCTCTGATGGTAGTTTGTATTTCTGTGGGATCGGTGGTGATATCCCCTTTATTGTATATGTAGAAAACCCCATTGTCTCAGCCCAAAATCTCCTTAAGCTGATAAGCAACTTTAGCAAAGTCTCAGGATACAAAATCAATTTACCAAAATCATAAGCATTCTTATACACCAACAACAGACAAACAGAGAGCCAAATCATGAGTGAACTACCATTCACAATTGCTTCAAAGAGAATAAAATACCTAGGAATCCAACTTGCAAGGGATGTGAAGGACCTCTTCAAGGAGAACTACAAACCACTGCTCAAGGAAGTAAAAGAGGATACAAACAAATGGAAGAACATTCCATGCTCATGGGTAGGAAGAATCAATATCGTGAAAATCGCCATACTGCCCAAGGTAATTTACAGATTCAATGCCATCCCCATCAAGCTACCAATGCCTTTCTTCACAGAATTGGAAAAAAACTACTTTAAAGTTCATATGGAACCAAAAAAGAGCCCGCATCGCCAAGTCAATCTTAAGCCAAAAGAACAAAGCTGGAGGCATCACACTACCTGACTTCAAACTCTACTACAAGGCTACAGTAACCAAAACAGCATGGTACTAGTACCAAAACAGAGATGTAGATCAATGGAACAGAACAGAGCCCTCAGAAATAACGCCGCATATCTACAACTATCTGATCTTTGACAAACCTGAGAAAAACAAGCAATGGGGAAAGGATTCCCTATTTAATAAATGGTGCTGGGAAAACTGGTAGCCATATGTAGAAAGCTGAAACTGGATCCCTTCCTTACACCTTATACAAAAATCAATTCAAGATGGATTAAAGACTTAAACGTTAGACCTAAAACCATAAAAACCCTAGAAGAAAACCTAGGCATTACCATTCAGGACATAGGCATGGGCAAGGACTTCATGTCTAAAACACCAAAAGCAATGGCAACAAAAGACAAAATTGACAAATGGGATCTAATTAAACTAAAGAGCTTCTGCACAGCAAAAGAAACTACCATCAGAGTGAACAGGCAACCTACAAAATGCGAGAAAATTTTCGCAACCTACTCATCTGACAAAGGGTTAATATCCAGAATCTACAATGAACTCAAACAAATTTACAAGAAAAAAACAAACAACCCCATCAAAAAGTGGGTGAAGGACATGAACAGACACTTCTCAAAAGAAGACATTTATGCAACCAAAAAACACATGAAAAAATGCTCATCATCACTGGCCATCAGAGAAATGCAAATCAAAACCACAATGAGATATCATCTCACACCAGTTAGAATGGCAATCATTAAAAAGTCAGGAAACAACAGGTGCTGGAGAGGATGTGGAGAAATAGGAACACTTTTACACTGTTGGTGGGACTGTAAACTAGTTCAACCATTGTGGAAGTCAGTGTGGCGATTCCTCAGGGATCTAGAACTAGAAATACCATTTGACCCAGCCATCCCATTACTGGGTATATACCCAAATGACTATAAATCATGCTGCTATAAAGACACATGCACACGTATGTTTATTGCGGCATTATTCACAATAGCAAAGACTTGGAACTAACCCAAATGTCCAACAATAATAGACTGGATTAAGAAAATGTGGCACATATACACCATGGAATACTATGCAGCCATAAAAAATGATGAGTTCATGTCCTTTGTAGGGACATGGATGAAATAGGAAATCATCATTCTCAGTAAACTATCGCAAGAACAAAAAACCAAACACCGCATATCCTCACTCATAGGTGGGAATTGAACGAGATCACATGGACACAGGAAGGGGAATATCACACTCTGGGGACTGTTGTGGGGTGGGGGGAGGGGGGAGGGATAGCACTGGGAGATATACCTAAGGCTAGATGACGAGTTAGTGGGTGCAGCACACCAACATGGCACATGTATACATATGTAACTCACCTGCACAATGTGCACATGTACCCTAAAACTTAAAGTATTTAAAAAAAAAAAAAAGGATAGGGTCATATTAAAAGAACACAGGAGTCGGTCTAAAAGAGCTTCAAATGACCAAAGCTGCGACAATTTGAGCAATAAAATAAATAAGATAGCATTGGATTATAATACAACATATAATAAATATCTATGAGTCCATGATGATATGAATAAATAATTGAATAAATTGGAAAATTGGTGAGAACAGATGTGCCATATAGAATAATTCCCAATAATTCATACAGATACTCCCTGCTGAAGAAGGTGGAGCTTGACCTCCCTCTCCCTTGAGCATGGGCTGTATTTAGCTACTTGTTTCCAAAGAGAAGTGTGTGGAAAGGAGTTAAAAAATAATTTCACCTGGATAAACCTGATAAGGTCATGTTTCAGATTTTATGGAGAAATCATATTGATAACATGAACCTGTGATATGATCTGATGAGAATGGCACTTCACTTCTGTTTTCTTCCTCCCAAAACCCTGCGACCCAAGACAAACAATGAAAAACATCAGAAAAACTCAAATTCAGTGGCATTCTAAACAATATTTGACCAGTATTTCTAAAAACTGTCAAATTTATCAAAAAGGAAGAAATTCTGAGCCACAGTCAAAGACCAGAGAAGCCTAAAGAGACAGGACAACTAAAGGTAATGTGGTATCCTGGATGGACTCTTGGAACAGGAAAAGAACATTAAGGAAAAACTAGTGGTGATAATAGTAATAATAATAAGTGTAGAGTCATTTAGTAGCAATGTATTTAGCTGTGATGGCTGCATTGTGGTAATATAAGATGTTAACAATAGCAGAAACTGGGTGAATATTTGGGAGCTCTCTGTATTATCTTTGCAACATTTCTATAAATCTAAAACTATTCTAAAACTGAAAATGTATTTAAATTTTAGAAAACTGACCACAAAATCAATTTGGCACATTCCTTTTCTTCTTATTTACGAAAGAGCTTCTCATTTCTTCATTGAATGCTTGGTAGAATCTAATGGTAAATTCAACTGGAACGGAACTCTTTACAGGAAGTATTGTTATAGATTAAGTTTATTGCAGGTTAAAAGGCAATTCAGTTTTCTATGCCTTCTAGTCAACTGTTGTATTTGGCATATATACTTTTCCCATGTTCTAAGATTTTTATACTTGCTATCCTAAAACTCTTGTAATATCTTCTTTTTATCTTATTAATGCCTGTAAGATATGTAATGACACCTTCTTTTTCATTTTTGACATCTATTATTTGTTTTATTTTCTCTTTTTTCTTGATAAGTCTCACATTCACTTATTAATTTGATTTATCTTTACAGAAAACAAATTTTCTTCATTAATTTTAGTTTAGTTTCCATTTCTTAGACTGTGACTTGCATTGCCCAATTGAAAGTGATTGAAAGTGACAGGTTCACTTCCAAGTGGAAACTTAAGAGCCAGTGTGTCCATGTGCAGTGGCTCACACCTGTAATCTCAGCACTTTGGGATGCTGAGGCGGGCAGATCACCTGAGGTCAGGAGTTTGAGACCAGCCTGGCCATGGTGGTGAAGCCCTGTCTCTACTAAAAACACAAAAATTAGCCAGGCATGGTGGCAGGGCCTGTAATCCCAGCTATTTGGGAGGCTAAGGAAGGAGAATCACTTGAGCCCAGAAGGCGGAGGTTGCAATGAGCTGAGATCATGCCTCTGCACTCTAGCCTAGGTGACAGAGCCAGACTCTTTCTCAAAAGAAAAAAAAAAAGAGCCAGTGTGCAGTTTAACCGTCTCTCATCTCTCTGCCAAGGTGATTGTGGAAGCACTGTTGACATAGAGCCTCTGTCAGCCTGAAGCCCCGAGTGACCATGAAAGCAGGGTCATTCTTTTGACCTAAAATAGACATCTAGCACTGCCAGAAATAACCTTTTGGGAAGTTACTCTATGAGAGCTGAGGTTTGTTTTTTATTTTGTTTTATATATATTTTTTAAATCAGGAATAACTTAGACCAGGGTGAACAAACTACTGCTGTCAGGGCAAATCCAGCCCATAGCCTGCTTTTGGAAATAAATTTGTATTAGAACACACACACACACACACACACACACACACACACACACACATACACACATACACACAAATATATCTTCACTAATGTTCTTTTTTTCTTGTTTTTCAAAAACTTTTACATACCATAAAATTCACCTGTTTTAAGTGCACAATTTAGTGTCATTTCTATTTTTTATTTTCGGTATGCTTTTCTTTTTGTAACTTTGTTAGGTGCATGTTTATCTTTATAAAAGAAAAGCCTTCCTTCTTTTCAAATATGAGAGTTTAAAGTTGTAAGTTTCTCTCTATACACAGCCTGAGCACCATCCCACAAATTTTCAATATAGAGTATGTTCATTGTTACATTATAAACCTTCTCATTTCTCTTAAACCATGAGCATATAAATAACATATAGATTATATAAAGACTATGGATACAAATGTTAATCATGCAATTTTGTCAACTAGTTATAATTACATATACAGTAACATTACTTTGGTGATATGTAAACCAAAATGTAAACAAAACTTGAAAGCAAACAGAAAATATCATATGCAAAAACTTGTACACACTTGTTCTTCATACAGTTTGTTTTCAAATATGATCTTCTATCTTGTTATAGGTTTTCTATGGCTTTAAACTGACATTTATTTTTCATTTATATTGTCCTCTGTTATGATTCTTCCAGTCCTGAACTTCCTGCATCAGTAATTTTTAAAGATATTTTTGGTTTACAGAAGTTTACCAATTATTACCATAATTTATCATCAATTTATTAACTCTCACCATCATTTCAAAAGTGAAAGAAATTTCACTACCTAAAAATATGTATGTATGACATTTTAGAAGAAAACAGACTTTTAACTAAATGCATTCATGTCTCTTAAAATTTAGTTCTATCATTTTAATTTTTTTCATTTTATTACAGACCAGTTTAAACTTTGTCAGAACCCCATTAGGGCCCATGTATCCATTTAACAACAAAATTCTGTAATTCTTAAATTCTCAAATTCATAATTTATATAACCACTGATACCCAATTGGTAGTAGTCTTCTGAGGAATGTTTCTATTCCATTATTCCTTGTCTTCTCTAATCACTCTCTGAATCTAAACTTCTCTTTAGTTTTTTTTCCCTATAATTAGATGTTGAGGTGTTTGGCTTACTTATCTTCTTTATTAGAATAAATAATATGTATCCCATCCCTAATGATTAGCACTTTGTCAATTTTTATATGTTTATGACAGGTGGACTCACTCTTATTCTAAACTCTGATATTAGTGATATCCAATGCCCCATTCAGAGACCATTAAATTAAAAATGCACTTATTACTTCTGGGACTTTCTAGACAATTTCCTTCATCTTTAAAAGATCTGGGACAAACACCACAAGCTTTGTCCCACATGAAAGTTCTCTGCCCAAGTAATGAAGCATCTAAAAATGCTAGTAAAGATATTAGATTTTAATATAACACATCAATAATTATATTTAATATAAATGATCTAAATCAGGGGTCCCCACCCCCCAGGCCATGGACCGGTATAGGTTTGTGGCCTGTTAGGAACTGGGCCACAGAGCAGGAGGTGAGCAGCAGTGGGAGTGAGCATTACCACCTGAGCTCTGCCTCCTGTCAGATCAGCTGTGGCATTAGATTCTCATAGGAGTTTGAACCTTATTGTGAACTGCACATGCAAAGGATCTTTGCGTGCTCCTTATGAGAATCTAATGCCTGATGATCCAAAGTGGAACAGTTTCATCCTGAAACCATCTTCCCATCCCTGCCAGTTTATGGAAAAATTGACTGCATTAAACCGGTCCCTGGTGCCAAAAAGGCTGGGGACCACTGATCTAAATACACCAATAAAAAGAAAAAGATTGTAAGATTGGATTTTAAAAGACCTGACTCTATACTGACCACAAAAAAAAACCCTCACTTTATTCTTTATTGCATATATTTATGGTGTACAACATGATGTTTTGATACATGTTGTGAAATGGTTAATATAGTCAGGCAAATCAACACGTTCATCATCTCACATAGTTTCCCTTTGTGTGTGTGTCGCAAGAGCACACTACTTTTTTAACAAAAATTCCAAGTAAAATATAATATTATCATAGACCTCACGTTGTACATTAGACCTCTAGACTTTTTTAATCTTACGTATCTGCAATTTTTTATCCTTTGACCTACATCTCTCCATTTCCTTCCCCTCCAACCACACCCCTGGTAACGACCACATTATTCTCTATCTCCTTGTATTCAGCTTTCCTTTTTTTTCTTTTAAGATTCCATGTATAAGTGAAATAGTGCAGTATTTTTCTTTCTGTGTCAGTTTATTTCATTTAGCATAATGTTCTTCATGTTCATTCATGCCTTGGCAAATGGCAGGATCTCCTTTTTGAAGAGTAAATAATATTCCATTGTGTGTGTGTGTCACAGTTTATCCATTCATCTATCAACAGTTCACTTGTTTCAAAATTTTGACTATTGTGAATAATGCTGCAATAAATATGAAAGTACAGATACCTCTATGAAGTTAAGTGGTGATTTCATTTCATTTTTTTTTTTAAAGACAGGGTGTCACAGTGTTACTCTGTAGCCCAGGCTGGAATGCAGTGGTGCAATCATAGCTCACTGTAAATCTCAAACTCCTAGGCTCAAGGAATCCTGCCTCAGTCTCCTGAGTAGCTGGGACTACAGACACACACCATGCTTAGTCAATGTTTTTTAGGTACAGGGTCTTGCTGTGTAGCCCAGGCTGGGCTCAAAGTCCTGACCTCAAGCAATCCTCCTGCTTTGACTTCCCAAATTACCGGGATTACAAGCATGAACCACCTCACTCAGCCTGGTAGTTCTATTTCTAATTCCTTTAGAAGCCTTCATACTGACTCCACAATGGCTACATCTGTCTACATTCCCACCAAGAATGTACAAAGGTTCCCTTTTCTCCACACCCTCATTAACAATTGTTATATCTTGTCTTTTTGGTAATAGTTATACTAACAGGCATGAGGTGATGTCTCATTGTGGTTTTGATTTACATTTCCCTAATGATTAGTGATTTTGAGCCCCTTTTCACATACTTCTTGGCCATTGTTATGTCTTCTTTGGAGAAATGTCTTTTCAAGTCTTTGTCCATTTTTTTAATTGGGTTTGGTTTTTTTTTACTGCTACTGAGCTGTATGAGTTCTTTATATATTTTATATATTAATCCCTTATCAGATATATTTAATATAAAGACAAAGAAAAGCTATAAGACTTTATATCTTAAAAAGCTGGAGTGGCTATATTAATATTGAACAAAATAGATTTCAAAACAAGAAATACTACCAGGGATCAAGACGCACAGAAAGAAGTCAATTCACCATGAAAATATAACAATACTAAATGTGCATGCAACTAACAATAGAACTTCAAAATAAAAGCTTGTAGAACTAAAAAAGAGAAATAGAGAAATCTTCACCTACAACTGGAGATTTTTAGACTGACATTAGCAAGATGGCAGAATAGGAGGTTCCAAGCATCCCTCCTCTCAACAGAAAATTCAACTGGCAGATATCCATGACAAGAGCACTTTGGTAAAAATCCCAAAACTTGGAAATAAGCCAAAGACACCCATGTTGACCACAGAACTGAATAAAAACCACATTAGAAGGGGGAAGAGAAAAGGTCTCACTTTGACCAGGCCACCCCTCCTCCACTCCCTCGCCCAAGTTGGCACACCACTATGCAGACAGGATTGCCCTAGGCCTACAGTTTCTCCAGTGGGAAAAGAAAACTAAAGATGAACATTCAGCTTCCTTAGCCATTCCTGGAATATTCTCAGAAAGCCCATTTCAGTCTCAGTTCACAGGGAAAGCAGGGGATAACGGTGTGGTTAGATCACCTGGGTTCAGATAGAAAAAAAGAAAAGGGGGCATTGCTCACAGTGACCAGTATGAAGATACTGTTGGTAGCTCTGTGTCACTGCCAGCAGAGGTACCAGCCAACAGCATAAGCCACCTGCAAAGCCAAGCTGGTCACTCCCAGAAGCACAGTGGAAATTTCCATCTGGCTTGAGTCCCTAGATGGCCAGCCTCCACAGCCAGCCTCAAATCCCTCCCCAAGGCCCCACGCAGAAATGGAGATACCTGCAACAAAGCATTTCAAACAAAAGAAACAACTGAGACTTGTGCCCCAGGGCATTTAAACAGTGGCTCAGACTCAAAGCTCACTCAAGGAGGGAGATGCCCACCACAGCACCTTTCAGCAAAGCCCAGAGGCTGGACTAGCCACACCCAGAAGTATAAATGGTGGCTCACCTCAGCCTCAAAGCCCACCCCAAGTCTCTGCCTAGGCAAGGGGGCAAGCCTCAACCATGCATTTCAACAAAGCATAGCAGCTGGTCCCAACTACCCTGAACAAAACCTATCTAACCTCAGGACCCAAACAGTGGTAGTGCCCGGCCGGGGAAAATACCATGTCTGTTAAGGGTTCTTACCATGATTTTAAAAAAGAAAGAAAACCTATACACAGACATTCCCAACAGCTTTATTCATAATTGCCAGAAATTGAATACAATCTGAATATCCTTCACTGTGTGGCTTTTAAAAAATCGCATTTATAGTACATCCATAGCATGGAATATTACTTAGCAATAAAAAGAAACAAAGTATTCATACAAGTTGGAGGGATCTTCAAGGAACACTAAGAGTAAAAATGCCAATTTAAAAAGATTACATATCTATGATTCCATTTATATGGCATTCTTGAAATGACAAAATTATAGAGCTAGAGAACAGATTCCTGTTTACCCAGGGTTAGGGAAGGAGGGAGAAGGCTCTCACTGGAAAAGGGTAGCACAAGGAGTCTATGTGATAAACTGTTTTGTGTCTTGACTGTAATGGTGGTCACAAAAATCAAAGCATGTCATAAAATTGTGTAAAACTAAATACATACCTACATGCACACACACAAACAAATGACTACATACATGTAAAACTGATGACATCTGATTAAGACCAATGGAGTATATCAATGTCAATTTCCTGATTATAGTTAAACAAGATGTAACCATTGGAGGGAAAAGGTATATGGGATTTCTCTGCATGTAGGTAAGTCTAAACATATCTCAAAATTATTTTAAATGTCAACTTTTAGGAACAGCTGATATTTTCTCTGTATTTATCCTAAATCACTAAGGCTTTCACAAGATCTCTGCTCCAAAGACCACCATATTTCTTTTTAAATGACATATCTATTGTGAAATGCATTTATGATAGTCAGTATTCTCATGCTGTGGAAATATACTTTAAAAAGAATATAGTCTTTATCCTATACTGAAGCTCTTGTCCCATCCTGTCCTTTTCAAACACTCAGCAGTTCAATTGAGCTTTACAACTTCCATGCACTTCACAAAAAGAAATAAAATAGTGGAGGCTACGCTGATCTCAGCTGGTTTTCATATATTTGGGGGTCAGATGGCTATAGACTGATATAAGCTAGCCTCTGCTGGGACAACTGGGTTCTTCTCCAAAATGTCTCTCTTGTCCTTCCTGCAGACTAGACTGGTCTTGTTCACCTGACTGAGGCAGGGTTCCAATGGAGAAGGCAAAGGCACACAGGCCTTTTGAGGCATAGGCTTGGAAATAGCACAATTTCATTTGTGCCATATTCTCTCTTTTTATGACTTTATTATTTGAATTTGTATATTGCACAAGACTTCCTATTGTTCAGATTTCATTTGCTTTCTTTCTCTTGTATTTTAACATCCTTCACAATTCTCACATCATTATTAAAAGTTGCACTTAACCTAGTAATAGATAAGCATTAGCTGAAATTAGTAATTGCTTAACTTCTATCCTACACTACTTTATCACATACTAGTGTGTCATGTTTCATAGTATAGGAACAAAGTAATCTTGCACGATGATATCTCTGATGCATACCACTATATTTTTGCTCATGGAATGACAGCAAAATTAATTTTTCTGCTGCCAAACTAATATTCAGCCAATCTTTTATTCATCAAATCTAACTACTTAGACCAGGGGCAGTTTCCTTTAGAGTTAGACTGTAATTTGTGTACTAATTTTTTTTTGGTTTTTTGTTTGTTTGCTTGTTTTGCTAAGGGAAAAATTTATTTTCCTGATGTATTTATTATTTTTTAGCTTTTATTTTAGTTTTAGTTTTAGGAATACATGTGCAAGTTTGTTATATAGGTAAATTGCATGTCATGGGTGTTTGGTGTTCACATTCTTTTGTCAGCCAGATAACCATATTCTCTCTTTTAACGCCTATTTAAAATTATATATTTTTAAGCTATACAATGTGATGTTTTGATATACATATGCATATTTAAGCTATACAATGTCATGTTTTGTTGTACATATGCATATTTAAGCTATACAATGTCATGTTTTGATGTACATATGCATATTTAAGCTATACAATGTCATGTTTTGATGTACATATGCATCTTGAAATGAATACTATAGTCAGGCTAATTAACATATCAGTCTCTTCACGTAGTTACCATTGTGTGTGTGACAAGAATGCTTAAGATCTACTCTGATAGTAAATTTCAACTATATAATACAGTATTATCTCTTTTTTATTTTTTACTTTTATTTGTTTATTTTTTTGAGACAGAGTCTCTCTGTGTCTCCCAGGCTGGAGTGCGGTGGCGCCATCTCGGCTCACTGCAAGCTCTGGCTCCCAGGTTCACGCCATTCTCCTGCCTCAGCCTCCTGAGCAGCTGGGACTACAGGTGCCCACCACCACGCCTGGCTAGTTTTTTTGTATTTTTAGTAGAGACGGGGTTTCACTGTGTTAGCCAGGATGGTCTCGATCTCCTGACCTCGTGATCCGCCCACCTCGGCCTCCCAAAGTGCTGGGATTACAGGCGTGAGCCACCACGCCCAGCCTTTATTTATTTATTTATTTTGAGATAGAGTCTCGCTCTGTGGCCCAGGCTGGAGTGCAGTGGCAGCATCTCAGCTCACTGAAATCTCTGCCTCCCAGGTTCAAGCAATTCTCCTGCCTCAACCTCCCAAGTAGCTGGGACTACAGGCACCCTCCACCACACCCAGCTAATTTTTTTATTTTTCATAGAGACGGGGTTTTGCCATGTCGGCCAGGCTGGTCTTGAACTCCTGACCTGAAGTGATCCACCTGCCTCGGCCTCCCAAAGTGCTGGGATTACAGGCATGTGCCACCATGCCTGGCTGATTTTTGTATTTTTAGTAGAGACGGGGTTTCACCATGTTGGACAGGCTGGTCTCGAACTCCTGACCTCAAGTGATCTGCTTGCCTCAGCCTCCCAAAGTCCTGGGATTACAGGCGTGAACCACTGCTTCCGGCCACAGTATTATCAACTGAGGTCCCCATGCTGTGCATTAGATCTCAAAAACTTAATCATCCTACAATACTGGAACGTACTCTTTGACCAACATCTTTTGATTCTGCCACCATTGCTTCTGATAATCACTATTCTCTCTCCTTCTATGAATTTGACTTTTCAAGATTCTACATGTAAGTGATATCATGCAGTATTTTTCTTCCTGTGCCTGGCTTATTTTACTTAGTATAATGTCCTCCAGGTTCATGCACATTGCACAAACGACAGGATTTCTTTGTTTTAAGACTGAATAATATTTCATATTGGATACAACCTAAGTGTTCAACAGATGAATGGATAAACAAATTGTGGTATATACCACCTGTTCTCCCTTGTAAGTGGAAGCTAAATGTCAGGCCTCTGAGCCGAAGCTAAGCCATCACATCCCTTGTGACCTGCACCTATACGCCTACATGGCCTGAAGTAACTGAAGAATCACAAAAGAAGTGAAAATGGCCTGTTCTTGCCTTAACTGATGACATTCCACCACAAAAGAAGTGAAAATGGCTGGTCCTTGCCTTAACTGATGACATTACCTTGTGAAATCCCTTTTCCTGGCTCATCTTGGCTCAAAAAGCTCCCCCACTGAGCACCTTGTGACCCCCACTCCTGCCTGCCAGAGAACAACTCCCCTTTGACTGTAATTTTCCTTTACCTACCCAAATCTTATAAAACGGCCCCACCTCTATCTCCCTTCACTGACTCTGTTTTCGGACTCAGCCTGCCTGCACCCAGGTGAAATAAACAGCCTTGTTGCTCACACAAAGCCTGTTTGGTGGTCTCTTCACACGGACGCGAGTGAAATTTTGGTGCCGTGACTCGGATCAGGGGACCTCCCTTGAGAGATCAATCCCCTGTCCTCCTGCTCTTTGCTCCCTGAGAAAGATCCACCTACGACCTCAGGTCCTCAGACTGACCAGCCCAAGGAACATGACACCAATTTTAAATCAGGTAAGCGGCCTTTTTGTACTCTCTTCTTCAATCTCACTATCCCTCAACCTCTTTCTCCTTTCAATCTTGGCGCCACACTTCAATCTCTCCCTTCTCTTAATTTCAGTTCCTTTCCTTTTCTCCTAGGGACAGGAGACGCATTTTATCCGTGAACCCAAAACTCCGGCGTGGGTCACGGACTCAGCAAGGCAGACTTCCCTTGGTGTTTAATCATTGCGGGAATGCCTCTCTGAATATTCACCCACATTTCAGAGGTGTCTGACCACATGGGGACGCCTGCCTTGGTCCTTCACCCTTAGCAGCAAGTACCGCTTTTCTAGGGAGCAAACACCCCCCACCCCTTCTCTCCATGTCTCTACTCTCTCTTTTCTCTGGGCTTGCCTCCTTCACTATGGGCAGCCTTCCACCCTCCATTCCTCCTTCTTCTCCCTTAGCCTGTGTTTTCAAGAACTTAAAACCTCTTCAACTCACACCTGACCTAAACCTAAATGCCTTATTTTCTTCTACAATGCCGCTTGACCTCAGTACAAACTCGACAGTGGTTCCAAATAGCCAGAAAACAGCACTTTTGGTTTTTCCATCCTACAAGATCTAGATAATTCTTTTCATAAAATAGGCAAACGGTCGGAGGTGTTTGACATCCAGGCATTCTTTTACACATTGTTCCCTCCCTAGTCTCTGTTCCCAATGTGTCTCGTCCCACATCCTCCTTCTTTCCCTCCCACCTGTCCTCTCAGTCCCAATCCCAAGCATTGCTGAGTCTTTCTAATCTTCGTTTTCTGCAGACCCCTCTGACCTCTTACCTCCTCCCCAGGCTGCTCCTCGCCAGGCCGAGCCAGGTCCCAATTCTTCCTCAGCCTCTGCTCCTCCACCCTATAATCCTTTTATCACCTCCCCTCCTCACACCTGCTAGCCCTACCCCACTTGCCCAGCAATTTCCTCTTAAAAAGGTGGTTGGAGCTAAAGGCATAGTCATGGTTAATGCTCCTTTTTCTCTATCCGAACTCTCCCAAAATCAGTTAGCGTTTAGGTTCTTTTTCATCAAATATGAAAAACCCAGCCCAGTTCATGGCTCATTCGGCAGCAACCCTGAGATGCTTTACAGCCCTAGACCCTAAAAGGTCAAAAGGCCGTCTTATCCTCAATATACATTTTATTGCCCAATCTGCCCCGACATTAAATAAAACTCCAAAAAGTAAATTCCAGCCCTCAAACCCCACAACAGGACTTAATTAACCTCGCCTTCAAGGTGTACAATAATAGAGTAGAGGCAGCCAAGTAGCAATGTATTTCTGAGTTGCAATTCCTTGCCTCCACTGTGAGACAATCCCCAGCCACATCTCCAGCACACAAGAACTCCAAACGCCTGAACCGCAGCTGCCAGGAGTTCCTCCAGAACCTCCTCCCCCAAAGTCCGTCCCCTTCTTAATCAATACGGAAGCTACCCACTCCACATTACCTTCTTTTCAAGGGCTTGTTTCCCTTGCCTCCATAACTGTTGTAGGTATTGACGGCCAGGCTTCTAAACCTCTTAAAAACTCCCCAACTCTGGTGCCAACTTAGACAACATTCTTTTATGCACTCTTTTTTAGTTATGCCCATCTGCCGAATTCTCTTATTAGGCCAAGATATTTTAAGTAAATTATCTGCTTCCCTGACTGTTCCTGGACTACAGCCACACCTCATTGCTGCCCTTTTCCCCAGTTCAAAGCCTCCTTCGCATCCTCCTCTCATATCCCCCCACCTTACCCACAAGTATAAGATACCTCTACTCCCTCCTTGGTGACTGATCATGCACCCCTTACCATCCCATTAAAACCTAATCACCCTTACCCCATTCAATGCCAATATCCCATCCCACAGCACGCTTTAAAAAGATTAAAGCCTGTTATCACTTGCCTGTTACAGCATGGCCTTTTAAAGCCTATAAACTCTCCTTACAATTCCCCCATTTTACCTGTCCTAAAACCGGACAAGGCTTACAGGTTAGTTCAGGATCTGCACCTTATCCACCAAATTATTTTGCCTATCCACCCCGTGGTGCCAAACCCATATACTCTCCTATCCTCAATACCTCCCTCCACAACCCATTATTCTGTTCTGGATCTCAAACATGCTTTCTTTACTATTCCTTTGCACCCTACATCCCAGCCTCTCTTCGCTTTCACTTGGACTGACCCTGACACCCATTAGGCTCAGCAAATTACCTGGGCTGTACTGCCGCAAGCCTTCACAGACAGCCCCCATTACTTCAGTCAAGCCCAAATTTCATCCTCATCTGTTACCCATCTCGGCATAATTCTCATAAAAACACAGGTGCTCTCCCTGCTGATCGTGTCCGACTAATCTCCCAAACCCCAATCCCTTCTACAAAACAACAACTCCCTTCCTTCTAGGCATGGTTAGTGCAGTCAGAATTCTTACACAAGAGCCAGGAACATGCCCTGTAGCCTTTCTGTCCAAACAACTTGACCTTACTCTTTTAGCCTGGCTCTCATGTCTGCGTGCAGCGGCTGCCGCCGCCCTAATACTTTTAGAGGCCCTCAAAATCACAAACTATGCTCAACTCACTCTCTACAGTTCTCATAACTTCCAAAATCTATTTTCTTCCTCATACCTGACACATATACTTTCTGCTCCCCAGCTCCTTCAGCTGTACTCACTCTTTTTTGAGTCTCCCACAATTACCCTTGTTCCTGGCTCAGACTTCAATCCGGCCTCCCACGTTATTCTGGATACCACACCTGACCCTCATGACTGTATCTCTCTGATCCACCTGACGTACACCGCATTTCCCCCATTATTTCCCTCTTCCCTGTTCCTCACCCTGATCACATTTAGTTTATTGATGGCAGTTCCACTAGGCCTAATCGCTACACACCAGCAAAGGCAGGCTATGCTATAGTACAAGCCACCAGCCCACCTCTTAGAACCTCTCATTTCCTTTCCATCATGGAAATCTGTCCTCAAGGAAATAACTTCTCAGTGTTCCATCTGCTATTCTACTACTCCTCAGGGATTATTCAGGCCCCCTCCCTTCCCTACACATCAAGCTCAGGGATTTTCCCCTGCCCAGGACTGGCAACTCTTAACTCCCTCTTAGAGTGGATAGATGCTCTTTGCTGGCAGGGGACCCTCCAATCTTTTCACCCTGATGAAGTTCTATTCTTTACTTTTATACTCACTCTTATTCTCATTCCCATTCTTATGCCACCCTCTACCTCTCCCCAGCTATCTCCACCACACTATCAACCTTACCCATTCTCTCCTAGCCGTTTCTAATCCCTCCTTAGTGAACAACCGCTGGCTTTGCATTTCCCTTTCTTCCAGCACCTACACAGTTGTCCCCACCTTACATGCAGACTAGGCAACATCTCCTATCTCCTTACACCTCCAAACTTCCTTTAACAGCCCTCACCTTTACCCTCCTGAAGAACTCATTTACTTTCTAGACAGGTCCAGCAACACCTCCTGAGACATCTCACATCAGCAAGCTGCCGCCCTCCTCCGCACTTAATTAAAAAACCTTTCTCCTTATATCAACTCTACTCCCCCAATATTTGGACCTCTCACAACACAAACTACTATTCCTGTGGCCGCTCCTTTATGTATCTCTCGGCAAAGACCCACTGGAATTCCCCTAGGTAACCTTTCACCTTCTCGATGTTCCTTTATTCTTCATCTCCAAAGCCCAACTACACACATCACTGAAACAATAGGAGCCTTCCAGCTACATATTACAGACAAGCCCTCTATCAATACTGGCAAACTTAAAAACATTAGCTGTAATTATTGCTTAGGAAGACACTTACCCTGTATTTCACTCCATCTTTGGCTGCCTTCCCCTTGCTCATCAGACTCTCCTCCCAGGCCCTCTTCTTGTTTACTTATACCCAGCCCTGTAAATAACAGTGAAAGTTTGCTTGTAGACACTTGACGTTTTCTCATACACCATGAAAATCAAACCTCCCCCTCTATGCAGTTACCCCATCAGTCCCCATTACAACCTCTGATGGCTGCCACCCCAGCTGGATCCCTAAGAGTCTAGGTACAAGACACTCCTTTCAGCATTCCTTCTCATCTTTTTACTTTGCATCTCCGGTTTTGCCTCACACAAGGTCTCTTCTTCCTCTGTGGATCCTCTACCTACATGTGTCTACCTGCTAATTGGACAGGCACATGCACACTAGTTTTCCTTACTCCCAAAATTCAATTTGCAAATGGGACCGAAGAGCTCCCTGTTCCCCTCACGACACTGACACGACAAAAAAGAGTTATTCCACTAATTCCCTTGCTTGTCGGTTTAGGACTTTCTGCCTCCACTATTGCTCTCAGTACTAGAATAGCAGGCATTTCAACCTCTGTCACGACCTTCCATAGCCTGTCTAATGACTTCTCTGCTAGCACCACAGACATATCACAAACTTTATCAGTCCTCCAGGCCCAAGTTGACTCTTTAGCTGCAGTTGTCCTCCAAAACCACCGAGGCCTTGACTTACTCACTGCTGAAAAAGGAGGACTCTGTATATTCTTAAATGAAGAGTGTTGTTTTTATGTAAATCAATCTGGCCTGGTATATGACAACATAAAAAAACTCAAGAATAGAGCCCAAAAACTTGCCAGCCAAGCAAGTAATTACACTGAACCCCCTTGGGCACTCTCTAATTAGACGTCCTGGGTCCTCCCAATTCTTAGTCCTTTAATACCTATTTTTCTCCTTCTTTTATTCAGACCTTGTATCTTCCATTTAGTTTCTCAGTTCATCCAAAACCGTATCCAGGCCCTCACCAATCATTCTATACGACAAATGTTTCTTCTAACAACCCCACAATATCACCCCTTACCACAAAATCTTCCTTCAGCTCAATCTCTCCCACTCTAGGTTCCATGACCCAATCCTGCTCAAAGCAGCCCTGAGAAACATCACCCATTATCTCTCCATGCCAGCCCCCCACCAAAAATATTTTTTTCGCTGCCCCAACACTTCAATACTATTTTATGTTATTTTTCTTATTAATATAAGAAGGCAGGAATGTCAGACCTCTGAGCCGAAGCTAAACCATCGCATCCCCTGTGACCTGCATGTATATGCCCAGATGGCCTGAAGTAACTGAAGAATCACCAAAGAAGTGAAAGTGGCCTGTTAATGCCTTAACTGATGACATTCCACCACAAAAGAAGTGAAAATGGCTGGTCCTTGCCTTAACTGATGACATTACCTTGTGAAATCCTTTCTCCTGGCTCATCCTGGCTCAAAAAGCTCCCCCACTGAGCACCTTGTGACCCCCACTCCTGCCTGCCAGAGAACAACTCCCCTTTGACTGTAATTTTCCTTTACCTACCCAAATCTTATAAAATGGCCCCACCCCTATCTCCCTTCACTGACTCTCTTTTCGGACTCAGCCCGCCTGCACCCAGGTGAAATAGCCTTGTTGCTCACACAAAGCCTGTTTGGTGGTCTCTTCACATGGATGTGAGTGAAATTAATATTAGGTACACACAGACATAAAGATGGGAAAAATAGACAGTGAAGATTTTAAAGGGGATAAGGAAGGGAGAGGAGCAAATGTTGAAAAACTATCTATTCTGTACTATGTTTGCTACTTGGGTGACAGGGTCATTAGAAGCCCAAACCTCAGCATCACACAATAAGCCCATGTAACAAATCTGTACATTTATCCCCTGAATCTAGATTTTAAAATAAGGCTGGGTGTGGTGGCTCACACCTGTAATCCAAACACTTTGGGAGGCTGAGGCAGGAGGATTGCTTGAGCCCAGGAGTTCAAGACCAGCCTGGGCAACATAGACCTTGTCTCTACAAAAAATAAACAAAATCAGCAAAATGTGGAGGTGCGCCTGTAGTCCCAGCTGCTCAGGAGACTGAGGCAGGAAGATTACTTGAGCCCAGGAGCTCAAGGTTGCAGTGAGCTGAGATCGTGCCACTGTACTCCAGCCTAGGCTACCAAGTGAGATTTTGTCTCAAAGAAAATAAGATAAAATTTTTTCTTACATTGTGATATATATGCACAATGGAATTTTCAAATATATAGTATATTATCACTAACTGTAGCCACCATGATGTAAATAGAGCTCTTGAATTTTTTTTTTCTTCTTTTGAAAACAGAGTTTTGCTCTTGTTGCTCTGGCCAGAGTCCAATGGTGCGATCTTGGCTCATTGCAACCTCTGCCTCCCCAGTTCAAGTGATTCTCCTGTCTCAGCCTCCCAAGTAGCTGGGATTACAGGCACATGCCACCACGCCTGGCTAATTTTTGCATTTTTAGTCAAGGCGGGGTTTCACCATGTTGGCCAGACTGGTCCCAAACTCCTGACCTCAGGTGATCTGCCTGCCTCAGTGTCCCAAAGTGCTAGGATTATAAGCATGAGCCACCGTGCCTGAACTCTCTTGAGCTTATTTTTCCTGTCTAAGTGATTTCCCCACCCCTAGCCTCTGATAACTACCATTTTACTCTTTGTTTCTATGAATTCAACTTTTTTACACTCTACATAGAAGTGAGATCATGTCTTTCTGTGCCTGGTTTATTTCATTTAGCTTACTGTCCTCCAGGTTCATCCATGTTGTTGCAAATGACAGAATTTACTTCTTTTTTAAAGCTGAAAAGTATTCCATTGTGATTATGTACCACCATTTTCTTTATTAATTCATCTATTAATGGGCACTTAAGTTGATTCCATGCCTTGGTTATTGTGAATAATGCTGAAATTAACATGAAAGTGCAGATATCTTTTCAACATGCTGATTTTATTTCCATTAGCTATATACCCAGTAATGGGATTGCTGGATCATATAGTAGTTTTCATTTTAATTTTTTAAGGAACTTCCATACAGTTTTCCATAATAGCTATACTAATTTTTATTCCCACCAACAGTGTGCAAGGGTTCCCATTTCTCCACATCCTTTCCAACACTTATTCTCTTTCATAGTATATTTTGAAGTCAGGTAGTGTGATGCCTTCAGCTTTGTTCTTTTTGCTCAAGATTGTTTTGGCTATTCAAAATCTTTTGTGGTTCAATCCAAATTTTAAGATTTTTTTCTGTTTCAGTAAAAAATGTCTTTGGAATTTTGATAGGGATTGCATTAAATCTATAGACCACTTTGGGTACTACAGATATTTTAACAATATTAATTTTTTACTTTCATGAACATGGGATATCTTTCCATCTGTGTCTTCTTCAATTTCTTCCATCAAAGTTTTATACATTTTAGTGTAGAGGCCTTTTACCTCTTTGTTAAATTTATTCCTAAGTATTTTTGTAGCTATTGTAAAAGGATCATTTACTTGATTCACTTCTCAGGTGTTCTTGTTAGTATTCAGAAAAGCTGCTGATTTTTGTATGTTGAATTTATATCCTGCCACTTTACTGAATTCATTTATTAGTTCTAATAGTTATTTGGCAAAGTCTTCAGGATTTTCTGTATATACGATTATGTCATCTGCAAAAAGAAACAATTTCACTTCTTCCTTCCCATTTTAATGCTCTTTTTATTGCATTTTCTTGCCTAATTAATCTGGCTAGAATTTCCAGTACTACATTGATAGAAGTGGCAAAAGTGGGCATTATTTTGTTCTTTATCTTAAAGAAAAAGCTTTTGACTGTTCACCATTGAGTATGATGTTAAATGGGGCTTGTCATATATGATCTTTATTGTGTTGAGATCATTCTTTCTGTATCTAATTTGTTGAGTTTTATCACAAAAGGACGCTGAATGTTGTCAAGTGTTTTTTCTGCATCTGTTGAGATGATCATATGGTTTTTACCCATCACTCTGTTAATGTAGATAAATCTCACTTGATCATGGTGAATAATCCATTTAAAGTATTGTTGAATTCAATTTGCTAGTATTTTCTTGAGGTTTTTGTATCTCTGTTCTAGGGACATCGACCTATAACTTTTTTTTCTTGTATGCCCTTGCTCTGGCTTTATTATAAGGGTACTGCTACCCCAGCATGATTTCCAAATGGCTATGAACCAGTGACTGCTGTGTACAACCAACTTTTCCTCCTTTCAAATGGGAGTGTTGTGGTTATAACATTATAAAACAAATCTTGCAAAGTTAGATAGAAGGCATCAGTTCTAGTGTTTGATAGCACAGCAGAGTGGCTATTGTTAACAACAATTTATTGTATATTTCAAAATAGCTAAAAGAGAAGTTTTGAAATGTTCCCAACACAAAGAAAGGACAAATGTCCAAGGTGCTGGATATCCTAAATAATCTGACTTGATTATTACACATTATATGCATGTATCAAAATATCACATGTGCCCAGAAATATGTACAAATACTATGTATCAATAAAAAAGTTTTTAAAAAATAAATATTACATATAATATATGAATTATATAATAAAACTAGAATATAATATAAAAAGGAAAAAATATATGTAAAATAAATCTTCATAATAAAATAAAATAAAATAATTTGAAAGAGTCTATGAATAAGATTTTGGAGACTACTCTAAGACAGATGCAAGAGCAGGTACCAATAATTCTGTCTGTACCAAAAGAGTGAATAATAAAAATATACAATTTCAACTTAATTTTGCATAAAAAAAAGTGAACAAATAAACATGCATCTAACAATACTGACCACATCCACGTCTTCTATGAGTATGGAGGGGATAAAAGAATAAAAGAAAAAAGTCAAAGCGAAGATTAGATCCCCCCAGTCAGAGCAGAATTCAAGGGTTAATTTATCTGTTCAATTAAGTATATCCCTCACCCCCAACTCAGAAGACACTTCTCTGATTTATCTGACACTAAGCCAAAATGGATTCTCTTATCTAATTTATCAGTAGAATCATATAGAGTAGAGGACACATGTAGATTAAAGACAGTGAGCCAGACCCATCTTCACTGTCACAGTGACAGAATGGACCCTCCTTTAAAATACCCCTGGTGACATTGTAATGAAAGACTAAAAAAGAAAGGGGCTTATAAAGTGCTGCAGTGAAAAAAAGGGCTTCTTATGTGAGCCTTACTTTTAAAGTTCCCTAAGAATTAGGTTGAAAAAGGTCATACATTGACTTTCATAGTGCTGAAATCATCAACAAAAATTTCTAAAATTCTGCAAAGTCCAGTCACTGTTACCTGTGCACTTCTCCAGAATTTTCAAAAGCCAAACTACTAAAAGGAAGGTTCTTGTATGCTCTTGAAACTTTAATATATCCAGCTAAATATTTTTCTCCTTCCTCCCCCTGAAACAAGGTGGTGAGCTGCTCATGGAGTAATAAGGTTCATTGATTTCTTTATCTCACATGAGTAAATATTAGCTCTACAAAAGTTATTTATGACCAGTGCCTTAAATTAAGCAGCATCAACAAATGTCACCACAAAATTTCTCTTCTGTTCATCTGGACAGCATTTTCTACCATCATGACCTACTACAATTTCATCTATCTCATGAGGAGCTTCTTAAGTACGTCCCCCTCATTTATAAGACTTTAAATTTCATACTGAAACAAATGATATGCAATGCTTTTAGAGATCTTAAGATAATCTTTGTCTAAAAATTCTGTCAACTAGATGTTCAAATTGCTACTGAAAATGGAGATGGAACACATACATTAAATGATTCAAATGATATATCGGAATTACCAGTAGCTGTCATGTTTGCCCATCAGATCTGCCCTCAAAAAAGTGTTATGAAAATATTCAAACATTTTTTCTCCCTCTAACTAATTCCTAGCTGTTAGCAGAACCCTCTGTACACACACACACACACACACGGCATTCAGATCTAATTAGACAAAAGAAATTTCATTTGTGAAACAGGAGAAATACCTGAAATTCTGTGAAATATTGTCTCGCATAGAAAATGGAGTTGTTACAAGCCAGGAGAGATTGGGTGCCTATTTTCAACCTTCTTAAAGACAAGAAATTCCAACCAAGAATTTCATATCCTGTCAAATTAAGATTAATAAATGAAAGAGAAATAAAATCTTTTCCAGACACTCCAGTACTAAGAGAAATCCTTATTATTAAAGGCAGTCTTACAAGAGACCCTTCAGGGAGTTCTAAATATGGAAACAAAGGAACGATATTTGCATTTACAAAAACATACTTAAGTACGTGGCCCACAGACCCTAATAAGCAACCACACAATAGAAACTACAAAGCAACCAGCTAACAACTCCATGATAGGATCAAAACCTCACATATTAACATTAACCTTGAATATGAACACTCTAAATGCTCCACTTAAGAGGCACAGAGTAGCAAGTTGGAAAAGAAAAGAAAAGAAAAGAAAAGAAAACTCATCTGTCTGCAGTCTTCAAGAGACCAATATCACATATATGACACCCATAGGCTCAAAGTAAATGGTTGGAGAAAGATCTACCACATAAACAAAAAACAGAAAAAGAGGAGGGGTCATTATTCTTAGATAAAACAAACTTTAAACCAACAACTACTTAGAAAGATAAAAAAGGGCATTACGTGACAATAAAGGGTTAAATTCAATAAGAAGACTTAACTATCCTAAATATATATGCACCCAATATTGGAGCATCTAGATTCATTAAAAAAACTACTTCTAGACCTATGAAAAGACTTAGCCACATGATTATATTGGGGGACTTCAACACCCCACTGACAGCATTAGATAGATGATTGAGGCAGAAAACTAACAAAGAAATCCTGGACTTAAACTTGACACTTGACCAATTCAACTTAATAGACATCTACAGAATATTCCATCCATCAACCACAGAATATATATTCTTCACATCTGCACATGGAACAGACTCCAAGATTGACCACATGCTAGGCCATGGAATAACTATCAACAAATTCAAAATACCAAAATAATGCCAACCAAACTCTCAGACCACACTGGAAAAAAATAGAAATCAATACCAAGAACCTTCAAAACCACACAATTACATGAAAATTAAACAACTTGCTCCTAAACCACTTTTGGATAAACAACAAAATGAAGGCAGAAATTTAAAAATTCATTGAAATAAATGAAAACAGAGACATAGCATACCAAAATATCTGGGATGCAGTGAAAACAGTGTTAGAAAGAAAGTTTATAGCACTAAACACTGACCTTGAAAAGCTAGAAAGATCTCAAATTAATGATATTACGTCACACCTACAGGAACTAGAAAAACAGAAACAAACTAACCACCAAGCTAGCAGAAGAAAAAAAATAACTAAAATCAGTGTAGAACTGAATGAAATTGAGGCTCAAAAATCCATACAAAGACACAGTGACATTACAAGTTTGTTTTTTTAAGGGATAAACGAGATCAATAGACCACTATTTTTTGTTAGTAGATTAACAAAAGAAGTGAGAAGATCCAAATAAGCACAAATAGAAACAACAAAAGTGACATTACAACAGATCCCACAGAAATATGAAAGAGACTATTATGAGCACCTCTATGCACACAAACTAGAAAATCTAGAGGAAGTGGATAAATTCCTGGAAACATACAATCTCCCAAGATTAAACCAGAAAGAAACTGAAACCCTGAACAGACCAATAACAGGTTCCAAAATTGAGTCATCAATTAAAAACCTATTAACTAAAAAAGGCCCTGAACCAGATGGATTCACAGCCCAATTTTACTAGACATACCAATTCTACTAAAACTATTTCAAAAAAGCAAGAAGAAAGATACCTCCCTAACTCATTCTACAAAGTAGGCATCACCCTGGTACCAAAACCTGGCAAAGACACAACAAAAAAAGAAAACTACAGGCCAATATCCCTGATGAAAAAAATGCAGAAATCCTTAAGAAATACTAGCAAACTGAATCAAAGAATACTAAAAAAAGACAGTTAATTCGCCATGAGCAAACAGACCTCCCTCTTGGGATGCAAGGTTGGTTCAACATATGCAAATGAACAAGTGTGATTCACCATATAAACAGAATTAAAAACAAAAACCATATGATCATCTCAATAAATGCAGCAAACCTTTTGATAAACCCAACATCCCTTCATTTAAAAACCCCTCAACAAACTAGGCATCGTAGGAGCATACTCAAAAATAATAAGAGCCCCTATGACAAACCCACAGCCAGCATCATGCTGAATGGGCAAAAACTGAAAGCATTTCCCTTGAGAACTGGGAATGCTTTCTGGAACATTCCAGTTTTCTGGAACATTCCCAGGAATGCCCACTCTCACCACTCAGATTCAGCCTATTACTGGAAGTGCTTGCCAGAGCAATCAGGCAAGAGGAAGAAATAAAAGGCATCCAAATAGGAAAAGAAGAAGTCAAGCTATCTTTCTTCATTGACAGCAGATTATATGCCTAGAAAACCTTAAAGCCTCCACCAAAAGACTCCTGGAACTGATAAACGACTTCAGTAAAGTGTCAGGATACAAAAGTCAAAGTATAAAAATTAACAGCATTTCTATACACCAATAATGTTCAAGCTGAGAGTCAAATCAAGAATGCAATCCCATTTTCAATAACCACACACTCAAAAAAAAAGCCTAGGATTTTTTTCTAACTAAGAAGGTGAAAGATCTCTTCAGATTCAGGGAGAATTATAAAACATTGCTTTAAAAAATTATAGATGTCACAAGCAAATGGAAAAACATTCCATGCCCATGGGTTGGAAAAATCAATATCATTTCAACAGTCATTCTGCCCAAAGCAATCTACAGATTCAATGTTATTCCTATCAAACTACCAAAGCCATTTTTCACAGAATTAGAAACAACTATCCTGAGTTCTTATGGAGCCAAAAAAAGAGCCTGAATAGGCAAAACAATTCTAAGCAAAAAGAACAAAGCCAGAGGCATCTAATTACCCATCTCAAACTACACGATAAGGTTACAGTAACTGAAACAGCATAATACTGATACAAAAACAGACATATAGACCACTGGAACAGAATAAAGAATCCAAAAATAAAGCTGCATGCCTACAGCCATCTGATCTTTGACAAAGTCAACAAAAATACGCAATGGGAAAAGGGCTCCTTATTCAATAAATGGTGCTGGGATAGCTGGCAAGCCACATATAGAAGAATAAAACTGGACCCCTCCTCTCACCATATAAAAAATTAACTCAAGCTGGATTAAAGATAGAAATGTAAGAACTCAAATTACAAGAATCCTAGAAGACAACCTAGAAACACCATTCTGGACATAGGTCTTGGGAAATAATTTATGACTAAGTCCTCAAATCAATTGCAACAAAAACAAAAATTGACAAGTGGGACCTAGTTAAACTAAAGAGCTTCTGCACAGCAAAAGAAACTATCAACAGAGTAAAAAGACAACATACAATGGTAGAAAATATCACAAACTATGCCTCTGACAAAGGTCTAATATCAAGCATCTATAAGGAACTTAATTCAACAAGCAAAAAGAAAATAGCCCCATTAAAAAGTGCGCACAAGACATGAACAGACACCTCTAAAAAGAACACGTACAAGTGGGCAACAAATATATGAAAAAATGTTCAGCATCACTGAACACCAGAGCAATGCAAATCAAAATCACAATGAGATAACCTCTTTACACCACTTAGAGTAGCTATTACTAAAAAATCAAAAAACAACAGATGCTGGCAAGGCCGCAGAGAAAAGGGAATGCTTATACACTGTTAGTGGAAATGTAAATTTGTTCAGCCACTATGGAAAGATGTTTGGAGACTTCTCAAAGAACTTAAAACATAATTACCATTCAACTCAGCAATCCCATTACTGGGTATATATCCAAAAGAAAATAAATTGTTCTACCAAAAAGATGTATGCACGTGTATGTTGATCGCAGCACTATTCATAATAGCAAAGACATGGAATCAACCTAGGTTCCCATCAACAGTGGATTGGATAAAGAAAACGTGGTACATATACACAATGGAATACCATGCTGCCATAAAAAAATAAAATTACCTCTTTTGCAGCAACATGGATGCAGCTGGAGGCCATTATCCTAAGCGAATTAACACAGGAATAGGAAACCTAATACCATATGTTCTCACTAATAAGTGGGAGCTAAACATTGGGTACACATTGACATAACGATGGGAACAATAGACACTGGGGACTAATAGAAGAGGGAAGGAGGAGAGGAGAAAGGGTTGAAAAACTAACTGTTGGGTACTATATTCAGGACCTGAGTGATGGGATCAGTTGTACCCCAAACCTCAACAACACACAGTACACCAATGTAACAAATCTGCACATGTACCCCTGAGGCTAAAATAAAAGTTGAAATTATTTTCTTAAAAATGGAAAGGCTAAATTCCACCTCTACCAATATGTTTACTTAATTTTTATATCCCCCATCTTACTGGTATAAAACCAGGAACATGGCAACCATTCATTTATGTTTGAAGTGTTCAAAAAATGAGTGACTACATCAATAAATGTACTCAGAGGAAAGCACAGGACTTTATTATGTGGGGAATCAAGTTCACAGAAGGAAGCAGATGAATCTTTTGCTGCAGGCTGCTGGATTAGGCAGCACTTTTTATTTAGGAAGAGTGGAGACCAGCGAGACAAGGGCTAGATTTAGGATTAGACTGTGAAAATGGTGATGGTGGGTAAGATGATGTAATCCTGCAGCACACTCAGCTTCTCACCAGAATGTTGATGTGGCTTCTTAAATGACACATGTTTTTTCTCTTCTTCATCATTAGCACAACATAATTTCCCACTTAGACATCCTATTTCATATCTTTCTCCTACCTTGCATTTCTTCCTGCAATAGCCTGTTACTTTATTGAAGCATTTTTTGAGTCTTGCCCCGTCTGTGCATAGGAAACAACATTGAACCAAGGTTAGTGCGTAAGGAAGAGCAGAAGAGGTAGGTATGTGGTTCCCCACAAGTCATGGCCTCCTATGGTCCCAAGTGAACATTATGCTGATAAAAGGAAACTCAGAGGCCCCTCCTTGAAAAATATCCCAAATTAAGGACATTCAAAAGCCCAGGCTCTCAGCCAATGTCCAGTTGCCTCTGAGAACATTAGAACTGATATGACAAAAGAGAAGAGAGAACTCAATTCCTGGTTATCAACCAGAGCCAAGTCCCACCCCTAGGACCATGGCAAAGCTGACTCTCTCCACCAAGCTCCAAAGTCAGCACTCTCTCAGCTCCATCTCAGTCTCATGTCCCCAGAGACGGCTAACATGTCACCATGTGCACAAGACATGTCACCATTGGCACAACTCAGCCAAAGCAACTTTTGAAAGAACATCACAAACAAGACTTTTTAACTTAATTCGGTTTCACACTCACTGATATGGGCAACAGAAATCTCCCTTTGACAAGATCTCATGGGTCTCAGCAACAGGTGCTATTGAGAACTCCTTCCCTTAACCTGGCTCCTCCTGTCTGTCACTCATCACACTCCCCTTGATCTCAGATAAATGTGTTGCCCAGGGATCAAATTCAATTCCATGAATTTGGCTCTAGAGAGCTACATTGTCACCTTCTCAGAGTAATGCACTGAAATTCTAAGTCTCTTGTTTCTAATCCTTATTTGCCCCTCTACCCAAAATTTGAACAAGCCCAAAGAATAAGGTTGGAGAAGAGAGACATACTCTCCCTATCCTAAACTTCAGAATCAGGGAACATCTTTGAGGGTTAGAGGAGTATATTTTGGGGCCATAAAAATACAATATGCCTTCTTCCTAGCAAGAGAGAAGGTAACTCTCACTGACAGGGCTTCTACGATGAACTTTGTGCTTCGTGCTTGTAAGTTCATGTAACCTGTACATCAAATAGAATCATGAAATATAGTAATTATACTCCTTCACAGATGAGAAAATTGAGATTAAAAGGAAATAATGTGCTTAATTCATACAACCCGTCAATGATGAAGACATATTTTAACCTCACATTGACATGACTCCAAAATGTGTGCTATTTTAATTACTGTTGTAGTACAGGCTGAAAATGAATTTGAATGGAAAAGGGAATGGCCAGGCTCTCAGGTGAAAACTGTGTCCAGCATTATAAAGATAATTCTAGATGATGAGTTCATGGATACTTTTGAAAAGGACTCCTGAGAGTCCACTATAGCCCTGACCTCCTCTTACCTCCTTGGGTGCCTCTCTTCTAAGGCATAGACTCAAGTCAGGCAACCAGGAGAATGGGTACTTTTTTATGATTTTGGCCAAATATAAATAATCTTGAAAGTCCTGTTCCCACTCTTACAAATAGTAATATCTCTTAGGATGTTATAGTACATTTGGACAAGTTACCTGTGAGTACCTCAAACAGCAGAATAATGAGAACCAGAAACAGCTTCATATTTACAGACTTCCCAAGAGAAAGAGGCAGCAGAACTTTGTCCAGTGGTCTGTGTGCCACAGGTCTTTAAAGATGATCCAGAGTTTTGAGAGCTATCAGCGCTCGGAGCTCTCATTTTAACCCACACAGACAGAGAGGAATTCCAAGTCCACCCCCGTAACACACACACCTACATCCCCAAATATGGAGCTCACAGTCCCAGAATGTTCCACCATATCATCCCTCCTCCCCCTTCCTCAGGATATGCGCCCCTAGAGAGCAGGAACTATGACTTTCCGTCTGAGCTTCCAACCCATTTGGGTCAAGGTTGGTTGGTCGTGGGCCTTGGGTTGTGTGGGATAATCCTGTCTTATT
The DNA here is from genome assembly GCF_000001405.40 of Homo sapiens. NCBI lineage: Eukaryota > Metazoa > Chordata > Mammalia > Primates > Hominidae > Homo > Homo sapiens. The sequence goes on from NC_000020.11 coordinate 189,978, forward strand.
CCTATTGTTCCAATGTTCCATCCGGCTACTGCTGCCTCTAACAAAACTAACCCAGTTTGGAAGATAAATTAAGTCATTAGTCGACACAGAAGCATATTCAACAATAATTTTTTTAATGTATAAAGCTTCCAGATAGTCATTCTAGGAGTAAGATTGCTTTTAGGTTTGGCTAGATAAATTGATATTATTTGAGAGTTTCCCATAAAGACTTGTCCATCTAGTAGAGCAAAATTCAACAACTGAAAGTTTTCAAAAGATCAAATCTCCTTAGCACAGCACTCAACTTATTATAAACTGGTCTCTGCTCTCCTCTCTTGGGACATTTTATGGAACCATCTATGTTTCTCCCAAACTAGTGGGTACACCTTCCTGAACTTTTACTTCCTTAATCTGTTTCTTTTCACATTTAAATCCCTCCTTACAGATTATATTACACTCCCCATCCCCTCCATATAATTGGTGCTAGTGAACTCCTGGTTTTCCTTCAAAACCAAGTTCAATCATCTCTATATAAGTGAAAGTTTCCCTGACCCAACTAAACAGAGCTGCAAACTCTCTTCTTCGCACCATCACTGTATTTGTACATATTTTTGTTGATGGTCACACTATGTCATGTTCCAATTATTTGTTTATCTGCAATAGTCTGCAGACCCATAAAGGGCAGGTCTCTGGTCTTATTAGACTTGGAGTTCTTTTTCTTTTTTTTTTTTTTTTTGCAGTTGCAAGATTTAATAGAGTGAAAATGGAGCTCCCATACAAAGGGAGGGGACCCAAAGAGGTTAGCCGTTGCCGGCTCGAATGCCTGGGTTTATATCCCAATCATTGTCCCTCCTGCTGTGCTCTCAGGCAATAGATGATTGGCTATTTCTTTACCTCCTGTTTTTGCCTAATTACCATTTTAGTGAGCTCTCTTTCCTACCTGATTGGTCACATGTGAGCTAAGTTGCAAGCCCCGTGTTTAAAGGTGGATGCGGTCACCTTCCCAGCTAGGCTTAGGGATTCTTAGTCGGCCTAGGAAATCCAGCTAGCCCTGTCTCTCAGTACCCCCTCTCAACAGGAAAACCCAAGTGCTGTTGGGGAGGTTGGCCGACGACCGCTCTAACTGCTTCCTCCTGAATTGGGGCATAGTAGGGGTTGTGCAGTTGAGATTTCCTCAGGAGGGGTGCCTTCGATGTCATTAACATTGGAGCATGGGCTAGCAGGCCGGTCCAATGGTCCACGGTAGCTCTTAGTCATGGACGGCATCTGTGGCTCCATTTGAAGAATGATTTGTAGTTTTACAGCTTTGATTCTGGAAAAGACAAACTTAACAAGGAGGTTAAAGATACAGGGATTGAAATGTATGGCCTGCAGTGCAGGGGATTATTTCTTTGGCACACTTTACAGGCCCTGACTATCTATTTGATAGTTTTGAAAAGGCCTGGTCCAGTAAATAATAATTTAGCCATCTGATAGTTGCTATCAATGCCTAAGTGAAAGGTTTGGTAAAGGGTTTTAAGTAATTTCAATTGGTTAGCTGCAGGCAAAAGTATTTTTTCTTCTTTGGTGGCTAGCCATCCTGAGGGGAGGAAAGTATGTCCTCTTGAGGTTCTCCATTCTATTTCTTCTGCTGAGTACTGGGGCTTGGTTTCCTGGAGGGGGTTACCCCACACTAGGGGTCCTTCTATAAGCATTTCTAATGGAGGGTCCTGTCTTGTGGCTCTTTTGGCTTCAACATCTGCTTGGCAGTTCCCTTCTACTTCCCTTTCCTTTTTTTTTTTTTTTTTTATGACCCCGGCAGTGTAAGACTGCCACCTCTTTAGGTTTCTGTACAGCCAATAATAATATCCTAATGGCTTCTTGATGTTTGATAGGTGTTCCCTTGGAAGTTAGGAATTCCCTTTCTCTCCATATTGCTGCATGGGCATGGAGAACTAGGTAAGCATACTTAGAGCCTGTATATATATTTACCCTTTTTCCTTCTCCTAATTCTAGTGCCCTAGTGAGGGCTATTAGTTCTGCCAGCTGAACACTAGTTCCTGGAGTGAGGGGATTACTTTCAAGTATTCCATTATCACTGACCACTGCATACCCCACTTTTCGAAGTCCTTTTTCTACAAAGGAACTTCCATCAGTACATAAGGTGAGGTCAGGATCAGTCAAGGGAACCTCTAAAGGATCCCCTTGAGCAGCGTAGGTTTGAACAATTACTTGCTGACAGTTATGTTCTATCTTTTCTTTATTGTCTGGAAGAAATGTGGCTGGGTTAAGAGTTGCACAAGTGCACAGTCGCAGCACTGGCCCTTCAAGTAATAGAGCCTGATATTTAAGTAAATGGTTGTCTGACAGCCACAAGTCTCCTTTAGCAGTGAGTATGCCATTCACATCATGAGATGTCCACACAGTAAGATCTCTTCCCTGTATTAGTTTAACTGCTTCAGATACTAAGACTACTACTGCTGCCACTACCCGTAAACAATGAGGCCAACCCTTTGCCATTACATCGATTTCCTTACTTAGGTATGCCACGGGTTACAAGCTCATCCCTCAGACCTGTGTAAGGACTCCTAGAGCTATTCCTGTTTTTTTCTGTGACTTATAAAGAAAAGTCTTGCCCCTTTGACAAGCTTAACACTGGGGCTTGGGTTAGGGCCTTCTTTAGGGCCTGGAAAGCTGCTTCTGCTTCAGGTATCCATCTTACTAATGGGTATTTGCTTTCTGAGTTTCCTTAATTGTGTATATAATGGTCTGGCTATTTCGCCATACCTGGGAATCCATATTCTGCAGAAACCTGTTACGCCAAGGAAGCTTTTAGTTGCTTTAGGGTTTTGGGATGAGGATCAGCCAGTATAGGCTGGATATGTTCCTCACTGAGGGCCCTGGTGCCTTTGGATAATTTGAGCCCTAAGTATTTAACCTGCTGTGAGCAGAGCTGAGCCTTTGGTTTGGAAACCTTATAGCCACAGGTGGCGAGGAAATTTAAGAGTGCTTGGGTGGCTTGATTGCACAAGGTTTCTGAACGGGCAGCTAAAATTAAATCATCCATGTACCAAAGGACAAGAGTGTCCAGGTATGAGAACTGGCTCAAGTCTTAGGCTAATGCCTGGCCAAATAGATGGGGGTTATCCCTGAACCCTTGGGGTAAAACAGTCCGGGTGAGTTGAGATGTTGGGTTCGAAGGATCTTCAAAGGTAAACAAGAATTGAAGGTCAGGATGTACAGGGATGCAGAAAAAGGCATCCTTAATGTCCAGGACTATAAACCACTCTGCTTCCTCTGGTGTTTGGGAAAGCAGAGTATACGGGTTAGGTATAGGTGGGTATGGAGCGACAATGGCCTCATTGATAATCCTGAGATCTTGCACTAACCTCCACTGTCCGCTGAGTTTCTGTACTCCTAAAATTGGAGTATTGCAGGGGCTATTGCATGGTTTTACTAGGCCTTGGGCTTTTAGGTCCTTAAAAATATTTTAGAGTCCTTGTTGGGCCTTGGGTGTAAGGGGGTACTGCCTTTGGTAGGGAAAGGAGGTGAAATCCTTTAGTTTAACTCAAACAGAATGGGCATTCTTTGCTCGTCCATGTTGTCCTTCTGTTGCCCAGACTTCAGGATTAATTCCTTCCTCAAGCAGGGGGACAATAAACGGGTGTTCTTTCTCCTATGTTCAGGTGTATAATGGCCCCTGCTTTCGCTAGAATGTCTCTCCCTAACAAGGGAGTGGGGCTTTCAGGCATAATTAGAAAAGCATGTGAAAAGTATAAAGTTCCCCAGTCACAACTTAGTGGCTGGGAGAAGTATCTAGTGACTGGCTGTCCTAGGACCCCTTGGATAGTGACAGATCTGGAGGACAGTTGTCCGGGACAGGACAGTAAGACTGAGAAGGCTGCGCCAGTGTCCAGGAGACAGTTAGCCTCCTGGCTCTCAATGGTCAAGCATACCCGGGACTCTGTGAGGGTGATGGCATGGGCTGGAGCTTGCCCTGGGCACCCTCAGTCCTTCTGCTGGATCATCTGGTTAGTGGCTTCTGACTCAGAGGACCTTCGTCCCCTGGGGCAGTGGGCCTTCCAGTGATTCCCTTGACATAAGGGGCATGGATGAGAGGGTGGCTTATTTCTACTTGGACAATCTTTTTTAAAGTGTCCTTGTAGACCGCACTGGAAGCAAGCCCTATTAGGCATTCGATTTGCCCAGTTTTTCCCTTTTCCAAAGCCTCCTCGACTAGGAGTTCTTAACTCATAGCACAAAATTCATGCTATATGCTCAATACATAATCACTGAATGGCTGAAAAGTACTGAACAAATTACTGCTAGATAAAATACTCCAACACAGCAATAAAGTTAATTATGGCATTTCCTTTAAAAATGCTGTTTACCACTTTTTGCAATTTCTAGGCACCTAATTATAGTAATGAGGTCCCATCTAATCCAAATATCTTTCTGTGACAGTATCTGGAAGAATGTTGGAATTTCTGAAAGCTGTAGAAGTAGCCGTTGATGATTAAACTCTTATCACAACATAGTCAGGGAAAGAGTAAGGTTAGGAATTAGTATTGTATATAGCTTACTATGGATACCAGTAACCAGAGCCCTTATCCCCCTCAGTTAGTAGCTGTATACCTTGTAATCCTGGAGTGGCACAGAAAATAAAGATTGGTGAGGCTTACAGAATCTCATCAAATCATATTTATCATATGAAGACAGCTAAGTTAATGGGTGCAGGAAATTTAGCCGCACGAAGATCAGATGTGTGAATATTTATTAAGGGCTAGGTGCAGTGGCTGGGATTACAGGCGTGCACCATCATGCCCAGCTAATTTTTGTATTTTTAGTAGAGATGGGGTTTCACCACGTTGGCCAGTCTGGTCTTGAACTCCTGACCTCAGGAGATCCACCCACCTCAACCTCCCAAAGTGCTGGGATTACAGGCATGAGCCACCACGCCTGGCTTGTTTTTTTGTTTTTGTTTTTGTTTTAATTTTCTAAGTCTTTCTTGCTGAGGGTCTGTGGATCAAGGAAATACTTATTCAAAAAACAGGTATTAAGTTCCTGTTAATAAATACAAGAAGAAAAGTGCTAACTGAATCACCTGTGGGTTTAAAGACCACCATCAAAGCTACAATTTTGGAGGACAGCCAACTGCTCCCTTGTTCTGTAATTCAATTTTACTCATTGCTGTAAGGGAGTTGGTTCCATTTCTAAATAAATTAAACAGAGATAACCCAAGGATTAGATGAATATAAGTCCAGCTATGCAGGAAATCGTTTGCCACCTTAGTGCACAATAAGAACTAAGAAGTTGGACTCCAGATTAGTGTATGGGATTTCTTTTAGCTTTTTCTAACTAGAATCAAGAAAGATGAGATATTTGACTGTTCTAAACCTTTACTTCAGCCAAGTATGGTGCTCTGGAAGCTTCTCAACCCCACTCCCACTGCCTCCATGTTCAAGACCATCAAATAAGAGGGAATTTCCTCTCCAAGTAGATGTCCATCTTCTACAACATTTTTTCCTACGTCTGATAGATACACTCTAGCAGAACTCCAGTAGCATATTTCACCCAGGATACAAAGGTGTATTTGTCAGCACCAGTCCTGCTGATGTTTTTCCTCAAATTCTGCATTGTTTCTTTCCAAATCTCAAAACCTCCCAGAAAATCCTTCTTGTCTTTTAAGGCTCAGATAAAAATAAGACCTCCTCTGTGATGTCTTCCTAACTCCTCTGATAGACTTGATTAATTACTATTTTGAACCCCCACAGCTCTTTCCATTTGTATTTGTAACACTAATCCCATTCGTGTGTGTGTGTGTGTGTGTGTGTGTGTGTGTGTGTGTCTGTGTATGAATTTTTTTAGCTTTTATTTTAGGTTCAGGAGAACATGTGCAGGTTAGTCACATAGGTAAATTGTATGTCACAGGGATTTGGTGTACAGGTTATTTCATCACCCAGGTAATAAGCATAGTACCTGATAGGTAGTTTGTTGATTCCCACCCTCCTCCTACCTCAAGTAGGCCCCGGTGTTTGTTTCCTTTTTTGTGTCCAGGTGGACTCAATGTTTAGCTCCCATTATAAGTGAGAACACGTGGTATTTGGTTTTCTGTTCCTGTGTTAACTCACTTGGGATACAGGCCTCCAGCTCCATCCATGTCCCTGCAAAAAACATGATTTCATTTTTTATGGCTGTGTAGTATTCGATGGTGTATATGTACCATATTTTATTTATCCAGTGTACCATTGATGGGCATTTAGGTTGATTCCGTGTCTTTGCCATTGTGAATAGTGCTGCAATGAACATACACGTGCATGTGTCTTTATGGTGGAATGATTTATATTCCTTTGGCTATATACCCAATAATGGAATTGCTGGGTCGTATGGTAATTCTGTTTTAAGTTCTTTGAGAAATTGCCAAACTGTTTTCCACAATGGCTGAACTAATTTACACTCCCACCAGCAGTCTAAAAGCATTCCCTTTTCTCCACAACCTCGCCAGCATCTGTTATTTTTTCACTTTTTAATAATAGCTATTCTGACTGGTGTGAGATAGTATCTCATTGTGGTTTTGATTTGCATTTCTCTAATGATAAGTGATGTTGATCTTTTTTTTTCTTTCAAATGCTTCTTAGCCGAGTATATATCTTGTTTTGAAAAGCGTTCCCCATTGCTTGTTTTTGTCAGGTTTGTCAAAGATCACATAGTTGTAGGTGTACAGTCTTATTTCTGGGATCTCTATTCTGTTCCACTGATCTATGTGTCTGTTCTTGTACCAGTGTCATGCTGTTTTGGTTACTGTGGCCCTGTAGTACAGTTTGAAGTTGGGTAGTGTGGTGTCTCCAACTTTGTTCTTTTTGCTTAGAATTGCCTTGGTTATTCAGGCTCCTTTTTGGTTCCATATAAATTTTAACATAGATTTTTCTACTTCTGCAAAGAATGTCAGTGGTAGTTAAATGGGAATAGCATTGAGTCTATAAATTGCTTTGGGCAGTATGGCCATTTTAGTGATATTGATTCTTCCTACCAATGAGCATGGAATGTTTTTTCATTTGTTTGTGTCATCTCTGGTTTCTTTGAGCAGCACTTTTTAGTTCCCCTTGTAGGTAGAAATCTTTCACTTCCCTTGTAAGCTGTATTCCTATGTATTTTATTCTTTTTGTGGCAATTGTGACTGGGAGTTCCTTCATGATTTGGCTCTTGTGTTGAAGGTTATAGGTGTATAAGAATGCTAGTGATTTTTGCACATTGATTTTGTATCCTGCGACTTTGCTGAAGTTGTTTATCAGATTAAGAAGTTGCCTAGCCATGTGCAGAAAATTGAAACTGGACCCCTTCATTACACCATATAATACAAAAATTAACTCGAGATGGATTAAAGACTTAAATGTAAAACCCAAAAGTATAAAAAACCTGGAAGACAACCTAGATAATACCATTCAGGACACAGGCACGGGCGAAGATTTTAGGGTAAAGATGCCAAAAGCAATTGCAACAAAAGCAAAAATGGACAAATGGGATCTAATTAAACTAAAGAGCTTTTGCACAGCAAAAGAAACTATCAACAGAGTAAACAGACAACCTACAGGATGGGAGAAAATTTTTGCAAATTATGCATCCAACAAAGGTCTAACTAATATCCAGCATCTATAAGGAACTTAAACAAATTTACAATAAAAACAAACAACCCCATTAAAAAGTAGGCAAAGAAAACATGAACGGACACTTCTCAAAAAAAGACATACATGCAGCCAACAGTCATATGAAAAAAAGCTCAACATCACTGACCATTAGAGAAATGTGAATTAAAACCACAATGAGATACCATCTCCCACCAGTCAGAATGGCTATTACCAAAAAGTCAAAAATAACAGATGCTGGCCAGGTACAGTGGCTAACACCTGTAATCCCACCACTTTGGGAGGCCTAGGCAGGCAGATGACCTGAGGTCAGGAGTTTGATACCAGCCTGGCCAACATGGCGAGACCCCGTCTCTACTAAAAATACAAAAATTAATCAGTCATGGTGGTGGGCACCTGTAATCCCAGCTACTTAGGAGGCTGAGGCAGGAGAATCACTGGAACCCAGGAGGCGGAGGTTGCAGTGAGCCAAGGCTGCACCATTGCACTCCAGCCTGGGCAACAAGAGCGAAACTCCCATCTCAAAAAAATAAATAAATAAAAATAACAGATGCTGGCAAGGTTGTGAAGAAAAAAGGAATGCTTATACACTATTGGTGTAAATTAGTTCAATCATTGTGGAAGACAGTGTGGAAACTCCTAAAGACCTAAAGACAGAACTACCATTTGACCCAGCAATCCCATTACTGGGTCTATACCCAAAAGAATATAAATCATTCCATTATAAAGACACATACATGCCCATGTTCATTGCAGCATTATTTACAATAACAAAGACTTGGAATCAATTCAAGTGCCTGTCAATAATAGACTGGATAAAGAAAATGTGGTAAATATATGTCATGGAATACTATGCAGCCACAAAAAAGAATGAGATCACGTCCTTTGCAGGGACATGAATGGAGCTGGAAGCTATTATCCTTAGCAAACTAGCACAGGAATAGAAAACCAAATACCACATGTTCTCATTTACAAGTGGGAGCTAACTTATGGGAACACACAGAAACACAGAGGGGAAAAACCACACACTGGGGCCTCTTGGAGGGTGGAGGGTGGGGGGAGGGAGAGAAGCAGAAAAAATAACTAATAGACACTAGGCTTAATATCTGGGTGATGAGGGGCGGGCACAGTGGCTCATGCCTGTAATCCCAGAACTTTGGAAGGCTGAAGCAGGCAGATCGCTTGAGGTCAGGAGTTCGAGACCAGCCTGGCCAATATGGTGAAACCTCATCTCTACTAAAAATACAAAAATTAGCCAAGTGTGGTGGCATGTGCCTGTAATCCCAGCTTCTCGGGAGGCTGAGGCACAAGAATCACTTAAACCAGGGAGGTGGAATTTGCCATGAGCCAAGATGGCGCCACTGCACTCCAGCCTGGGTGACAGAACAAGACTCTGTCTCAAAAAATAATAATAATAATAAATCTGAGTGATGAAATAACCTGTACAACCAACCCCCATGTCACACATTTACCTATGTAACAAACCTGTACCCCCTGCACACATAACCTTTGATCTTAAAATAAAAGTGAAAAAAAAAAGTGTCTGTTCATGATCTTTGCCTTTTTTTTTTTTTTTTTTTTTTTGACAGAGTTTTGCTCTTGTTGCCCAGCCTGGAATGCAATGGCATGATCTTGGCTAACTGCAACCTCCACCTCCTGGATTCAAGCAATTCTCCTGCCTCAGCCTCCCAAATACCTGGGATTACAGGTGCCCACCACCTCAAAGTAAATTTCTTTGAGTTTCCTCAACACAGCTATTGTGAATTATCTGTCAGAAAAGTCACATATCTCTGTCTCTCTGGAATGGCCCCTCCTGCCTTATTTAGTCCATTTGGTGAGGTCATATTTTCCTGGATGGTGTTGATGCTAGTAGATGTTCTTCAGTGTCTGGGCATTGAAGAGTAGGGTATTTATTGCAGCCTTCACTGTCTGAGCTTGTTTGTACCTGTCCTTCTTGGGAAGTCTTTCCGAATATTCAAAAGGTCTTGAGTGTTGTGATCTAAGCTATATCTGCTTTAGGGGGTACCCCAAACCCAGTAATACTGTGGTTCTTGCAGACTCTTAGAGATACCACCTTGATGGTCTTAGACAAGATCTGAGAAAATTCTCTGGATTACCAGGCAGAGGTTCTTGTTCTCTTCCCTTGCTTTCTCCCAAACAAACGGAGTCAGTCTCTCTCTCTCTCTCTCTTTTCTGAGCTACCTAAAGCTGAGGATGGAGTGACATAAGCATCCCTGTGGCCACCAACACTATGACTGCACTGGGTCAGACCTGAAGCCAGCACAGCCCTAGGTCTCACCCAAGGCCTGCTGCAACCACTCCCTGGCTACTTCTCAAGGCCCTGAGGCTCTACAATCAGCAAGTGGCGAAGCCAGCCAGGACTGTGTCCTTCCTTTCAGATCATAAAGGTACCCCAGGCCCAGGATGGATACAGAGGTTCCCATGGGGACTCCGAGACTAGAGTAACAAACCTTAGAAATCTACCTGGTGTTCTATTGTACTGCAGCTGAGCTTGTACTCAAACCACAAGACTCAGTCCTCCCCACTCTTCCCTCTCCTTTCCAAAAGCAGAGGAGCCTTACTTCGTGGCCACCAAAACCACAGGCCACAAGGAATACTGCCAGGCTACTGCTGATGTTCCCTTTAAGCCCCAAGGGTTCTTACGTCAGCTTGTGGTGAATGCTGCCTGGCCTGGGACTAATCCTTCAAGAAGGTAGGCTCCCCTCTGGCCCATGACAGGTCCAGAAATATTCAAGAGTCAAGTCCTAGAATCGAGGACCCCAAGAGCCCACCTGATGCTCTACCTCCTTGTGGCCAAGCTGGTACCTAAGGTGTAAGACAAAGTTCCCTTCATTTTTTCTCTGCTTTTCTCAAGCAGAAGGAGTTCTGCCCTATAGCCACCACAGATGGGGATGTGTTGAGTGTCACCTGAAGCCAGAAAGTCTCATGGGTTCACCCAAGGCCATCAGTGTGGAACCTGGTTATCACTGCTGGTTATTCAGGGCACAAGGGCTCTTTAGTTAGCAGGTGATTAATGCTGCCAGGACTGGGTCCTTCCCTTCAAGGCAGTGGGTTCCCTTCTGGCCCAGGGTGTGTCTAGAGATGTTTTTCAGGAGCTACGTCCTGGAAGAGGGTCTGTCAACTATCTGGTGCCTGATCCTGCTGTGGCTGAGCTGGTATCCAAGATGCAAGACAATGTTCTTCCTACTCTTCTCTCTCTTCTCCTCAAGTGGAAGGAAATGGTCTCTTTTGGAGCTATGAGTTGCGCAGCCTGGGGTTAGGGGAGGATGATGTTAGAACTCCCTTAGCTGCCCTAGCTACTGTTTTAGTAGGTCATGTGCCCCCCAGTCCACTGTCTCTAGGCCCAGTTCAGCACTAGGACTTGCCTAAGAGTTGCAGTCCTTGGGGTTTAGACTGCCTTTCAAGTTTGCTTAGAGACCCAAAGCCCACAGTGGAAAGCTTTGCATGTATTCAAGTTCCGACCACTGAGATCAGCAATTCCCCTCTGGTTAGGGCTGGTTTAAATGCTTCCTCTGTGGGTGGGCCTCAGCTGCATTTGGTCCAGTTTTCCTTTCTGCTCTAACTGGGCAGCACTGAGTTCACTGCCTCACAATTGCCGAGTTTTCCATCCCTCCTCCAGCACCCAGAGATTATCTTTGCATGCTGCTACCGACAGGGCAGTGGGAGTGGGGAGTGCAGGGTGGCAGCTGTGATTGAGGACTGTGTTTTCTATTTCTTCAGTGCCTCATTCAGTGGTAGGAACTAAAATCAAGTGCTATGATTCTTATTCTTATGAAGGTGTTTTTTGTGTAGATAGTTGTTAAATTGGTGCCTTTGCATAGGGGAGGGAGGACGATCAGCGGAGCCTTCCATTCAGGCATCTTGCTCTGCCTCCTTTTTCCATAAATAATTTTTGGGAGTCTAGTATGTTCCAGGAACTCTTTCAGGTCCTGAAAATTAGACATGCATTCATGGAGCATACATTCAAAAGTGGGAAGCAGATAAAAAATCATATGAATAAATATATAGTATGTCAGATGGTGACAGGGCTCTGGAGCAAAAGAAGATATAGAAAGAAGATGACAAGGCCAGGCACGGTGGCTCACACCTGTAATCCCAGCACTTTGGGAGGCTGAGGCGGGCGGATCACCTGAGGTCAGTAGTCCAAGGCCAGCCTGGCCAACATGGCGAAACAAAATACAAAAATTATCCAGGAATGATGGCGGGTCCCTGTAATCCTGGCTACACAGGAGGCTGAGGTGGAAGAATCACTTGAACCCAGAGGTGGAAGTTGCAGTGAGCCAAGATCATGCCATTGCACTCCAGCCTAGGCAAAAGAGGGAGACTCCATCTCAAAAAAAAAAAAAAAAAAAAGTGCTGAGCAAAAAAGAGTACAGTTTTAAATGAGGTATCTGTGAAAAGACTCCTTGAGGCAGTGACATTTCAGGAAGGATGTAAAAGTTATCTGGGGCAAGAGAGTGTCAGGCAATGAGAAGAGCAAGTGCAAAGGCCCTGAGGTGGGACCATGCCCAGTGTGTTCAAGAAGTAGCAAGAAGACCACATGGATAATGTGAAGCAATGAGGAAAGAGAAAAAGGGGATTATATCAGAAAAGTAATGGGGGTGCACATTTGGGGTTACAATAAAGAATTAGACTTTTCCTCTAAGATGGAGGTTATTGGACAGTGCTGACATGATCTGATGTATTTTCAAAAGATGCCTCTGGCTTCTGTGGTCAAAACAGATTGAGAGGGAGGGAAAGTATAAAAGTGGAAAACCTGTTGCATGGGCATTACAAAATCTAAGTGACAGCTAATAGGGCTTAGATAGAGAGCATCAGAGAAGAGGGTGGGAAATGGTCAGACTCTTACATACCTATTGAAAATACAGTCACTCGTAGATTGAAGAGAAAGGAAGAAGTCAAGATAACATCACAGTTTTAGTCTGAGTAACTGAAAGAATGAAGTTGTCACTGACAGAGATGGATATAACAGGAGAAAGTTCAGATTGGTCTTTTTGCTTGAGGGAGGATAAAAACCTTTGTTTGGGATACGTTTGCTTTGGAGTGCTATAGACATCTAAGTGGAATTGTCTTGTAAACAGGAGAGATTTTTAAGCCATGAGACTGAATGGGATTGTCAAGGCTATGACTGCAGAAAAGAGCCTAATGCCTGAGACCTAGAACTCCCCAATGTTGATGAATAAGAAGCAGCAAAGGACACTGAGAAGGTTCATTCCAGTGAGGTCGGAGGAAAACCAAGAGAACATGATGCTCTGGGAGCTTAATTAAATTAAGTTCATCAAGGAGGATAAAGCACCAAATGCTGCTGATACATCAAGATGAGGCATGAGAATTGATCAGTGGCCTACCAGAATCCCAGCTCCATGACCTCTTACCAGATGCCAAGTAGATGACAAATGCATTTCAAATGCATTGCTTACTTTAATCATCACAAGAACACTATGAAGCAGAAATTAATATACCTCAATTTTTAAAACTGGAAAACTACAATTTAGGGAGCTAATAATGTGCCCAATGTCACACAGCCAATAAGGAATTAACTGGGATCAACACAGGTCTGCATGAACCTAAAATTAAAGGCCTTAGCCACTATGCTAAGCTGCCTCTCCAGCTGCCTTCCATGGGTCAATTCTAGGGAGACTGAAGACAAAGTATTCAAATAAAAGATGTTGCTTTATTCAAAAAATGTATTGGCCATGTGCTTGGCTGGACATTCTTCCATGACCTACTCCTTTATACTCTATTCATCACTTACAGGGCAGCCTGTTTTAAGAGAATTCATATTTCTTATTTCTGAAGATGACATTATTACATCCTGGAAGAAATATTGATTGCCCATTTCAGTATATTCCTAAGTCTTTTTGTTCCTCTGTGTCAATTCTTTTTCTTTTATTATTATACTTTAAGTTCTAGGGTACATGTGCACAAAGTGCAGGTTTGTTACATAGGTATGCATGTGCCATGTTGGTGTGCTGCACCCGTTAACTCATCGTTTACATTAAGTATTTCTCCTAATGTTATCCCTCCCCCCTCCCACCACCCCACAACAGGTCCCGGTGTGTGATGTTCCCCACCTGTGTCCAAGTGTTTTCATTGTTTAATTCCCACCTATGAGTGAGAACATGCAGTGTTTGGTTTTCTGTCCTTGCGATAATTTGCTCAGAATGATGGTTTCCAGCGTCATCCATGTCCCTACAAAGGACATGAACTCATCCTTTTTTATGGTTGCATAGTATTCCATAGTGTATATGTGCTACATTTTCTTAATCCAGTCTATCATTGATGGACATTTGGGTTGGTTCGAGGAAGTCAAATTGTCCCTGTTTGCAGATGACATGATTGTATATTTAGAAAACCCCATCATCTCAGCCCAAAACCTCCTTAAGCTAACCAACTTCAGCAAAGTCTCAGGAAACAAAATCAATGTGCAAAAATCACAAGCATTCCTATATACCAGTAACAAACAGAGAGCCAAATCATGAGTGAACTCTCATTCACAATTGCTTCAAAGAGAATAAAATACCTAGGAATTCAACTTACAAGGGATATGAAGGACCTCTTCAAGGAGAACTACAAACCACTGCTCAACGAAATAAAAGAGGACACAAACAAATGGAAGAACGTTCCATGCTCATGGATAGGAAGAATCAATATCGTGAAAATGGCCATACTGCCCAAGGTAATTTATAGATTCAATGCCATCCCCATCAAGCTAGCAATGACTTTCTTCACAGAATTGGAAAAAACTACTTTAAAGTTCATATGGAACCAAAAAAGAGCCCGCATCGCCAAGTCAATCCTAAGCCAAAAGAAAAAAGCTGGAGGCGTCAATTCTTTAATGTCAAGCAGCCTTTATGCAATCTTGGATTGGGCACAAGAAGCACACAATCTCCTCATTTTCAAAGCCCTTCATGGCTAAGCAATAGAGTTCCTCTTGAGTAGGCTGGAACAGATAATGAAATGTTGCTTTTTAGATGTGGTCAGTTAAAAATAAAATCACCTATCAACATTTGTTACTGTACCTCCAGCTGTGATCAATAGTACAAATTGCTTTTAATATCTTACTTATAAATAGACTTTAAGTATGTTTCATTTCTGAGAAATGTTCTCTGAATTCTACTTAAGATGTTATCTTTCCAAACTGCTGGACGGGCTGAATCCAGGCAAGAAATGGGATTGCAAATTCCCTTGCACGAAGACTTGATGGGTGAGTCAAAGCAAGATTCCCTTGCCATTCTTTGTTTAGAGGTGAGAGGAAGGTTAACTAGCATTTTATGCTATAAAAATCAGACACAAAGATAAGCAAAAAGAATACAACAGAAGCCACTCATTATTTCAGCTCTCTGTTAACACTTTGATGTTCACTTCTAAATATGCTTCCTCAAAGTAATTTCTTTTCACAACTGGGTAGGAGATAAGATAAAGCAAAGTGAGCTTGCTTGCTTTTCATCCACTCAGTTAAAAACAGTCTTCCAGTTGACACTCCCTGATACATGCACACTCAGGCACACACAAAAGTCTGCACTCATCCATTAACCTCAAGAAAGAGACCTGTTGACAAAATAGACATACACCAGTTCAGAGGAACCTATGTCACCTGTCCCTAGTAATCTACTTTTAAGCCTAAATATATCAACAGTCAATTTCAGGAAAATTAACATTAAAAAAATTTAGATGAACAATAGGAATGAATGAACTTAAAGGAAAAGAAGCTAATATCAAGGACAGAAGATAATTATTTAAAATGATGAGTGACAAACTTGACTAAAATGCACAACCTCTTCATAACAAAAAGCATGCAGGAGAAGGTACAAGTCAGCACAAGGTTAAAAGACAATCAGAGTAGAACAAAAATTCTATGTGCATGATACCACAAAAAGATTGCTATCCATAATCTATATGAAGAATAACTACAAATCAATAAGAAAATGACAAATGACCCAGAGGAAAATAGGCAAACAATAGTATAGCAGCAAAACATTGTAAGCACTCGTTTCAGAAGGTTGATATAGATTCAGAAATATGATATTCCCTTTAAGAGAATCTGCTTTTAATCCATAAATTGTCTTACAAACTAGTTTTATTAGTTTAATATTAAAGGACCCATTAGTGGGTATATATCCAGAGGAATATAAATCATTGTATTATAAAGACACACACCTGAAAATGTTCATTGCAGTACTATTCACAATAGCAAAGACAAGGAATCAACCTAAATAACCATCAATGACAGGTTGGATAAAGAAAATGTGGTATGTATACACCATGGAATACTGTGTAGCCATAAAAAAGAACAAGATCGCATCTTTTGTGGGAATATGGATGGAACTGCAGACCATTATCCTTAGCAAACTAACGCAGGAACAGAAAGCCAAATACCACATGCTGTCACTTATAAATGAGAGCTAAATGATGAGAACTCGTGAACACAAAGACGGGAACAAGAGACACTGGGGTATCCTTGAGGGTGGAGGGCGGGAGGAGGGAGAGGAGCAGAAAAGACAACAAACCTCTGTGACACAAGTTTTCCTATGTAACCAACCTTCTTATGTCCTCCCAAACCTAAAACAAAAGTTAAAAAAAAAAAAAAGACCCAATTGGAGTTGCAATTTGCTCTTTCCCATTCTACTGCATTTCTGAAACCCAAAGTGTACAAAGAATGTGTCTTATGTTTTATGAAATGTACATTTGGGCCCCCATTTTTTTATTTGTATAACAATTGTAAAACACTATCTAAAGGCATAAAATGGCTAGGATGAGAATTACTATTGGTTCATAATTATATTTGCTTAATTACTGAAGATGTAACTGTACTCGCTTTAAGTATGCCATTTGACTATTGCCCTTCTTTTTGTCCAGAGCCATCAAAAGATTAAAGTATTTGAAATGAATAATGTAATGGTTTTGTCTTCCTGCTACAGTGTGTTTCAGGTTATTTTCTAAAATCATAATGAACCCTGTTTTTTTGTTGTTTTTATTATTTTTTGATAAGTAAATAATGCCACGATTGGTAGATCTAAAACTGAAGAAGGAGACCCTATGGCCTCAATCCAGAATGCCATAGCATGCTAAAATGAGAACTTCCTCCAGGTGTGTATGTGTGTGTTCAGGGCCACCTATGTATGCCCGATACGTCCAGTCTTCGTTGATGAAAATTGTTAGAGGTCAGTATTACAGAAGATAAAACAGAAAGGCCATATGTTAATAATGAGAAATAAGTGGTTAATTCATAATTAGTGAATCTGGTTTCAGCACTTTGGCCTTCGAGGTGGTCAAAACAGGTCTCCAATATGAACTAAGGATTGAAAAGATTAAAATTATTTTTTTAACAAAAATTAAGCTCAAAGAGTCTTGGATGCTTCAGATTGACTCTGCTTCTGGCATAACTTGAATAGAAAATCATATAAGGGTCTATGATGGGCACCATGCCCAGAGCTAGTTGGTTTAAATGTCATTCTATTTTGGACCCTAAAGATAAACATGGCCTACTGTGATTCCGTCCTGCGTGGCTGTTCTCTGGAGCAGTAGTCATTAATCTTTGCCTGCCTTCTCTCCCACCTAGGTGTGTGCCACCACCCCATGGTGACATGAGCTTCATTAATTAAAAAAAAAAAAAACTTTTTCTCTCTTTTCTTAATAGAAATGACCTTGGAAAATTTCTATTGGTCTGTCTTCAAGTTCATTTCTCTTTCCATATCATATCTACATGGCTGTTAAGTCCAAAGTTTATTATTTAAATAAATAAATAAAATTGATAAAACTCTAGCCAGTTGATCAAGAAAAAAGAGACAATTACCAAATTTTCAATATCAGGTATAAAAAGAGGACATCATTACATTAAAAGTTTTGTGAGAGATGATTCTATATGCCAAAATTTTTGACAACCTATATGAAATGGATAAGTTTCTTAAAAGATACAAATTACCAAAACTGACCTAAGAGGAAACATAAAGTTTAAACGATGCTGTATCAATTGGAGAAATTGAATCCATAGTTTAGTCTTCTCACAAAGAAACTTTCATGCCTTGATGGCTTCACTGGTGAAGTATACCAAGAAATAATAATGGCAATTCTACACTAACTCTTTCAGAAAATAAAGGAGGAGACACTTCTCAAATCATTCTTCGAGGCCAATATTACCTTGGTTCCAAAAATATGCAAAGATATCACAAGAAAAGAGAACTATGAGCCAATATCCTCATGAACATAATTTCAGAAATCTATAATAAAATATTAGCAAATTGAATGCGGTGAAGAATAGAAAGGATCATAGAACAGGACAATATGATGTTTATCCCCAGAATGCAAAGTTGATGTAACATCAAAAAATGAATCAACGTAATTCACCATATTGATGGACTAAAGGGGAAAAACATATGATTATTTCAATAAATGCAAGAAAAGCATTTGACAAAATTCAAAGCCCTTTAAAAAAAACTCATCAAACTAGGAGAGATGGTAACTTCAAGCTGAATAATGCTAGCTACAAAAAAGTAACTACAGATAACATCACCTTTAACTTAGAAGGCTCATGTCTTTCTACTTTAATTAGGAACAAATGGTAAGTTGACCACAACCACTTTTACTTAACGTCATACTGAAGGTCTTAGCTACTCCAAAAAGGCTAGAAATAGGAATAAAATGCATGCATTTAGAAAAGGAAGATACAGCAGATTCTATTTTTAGTTTTTAATTTTTATAGGTACATAGTAGATGTATACATTTATGGGGTACAAAGTTATTTTGATACAGGCATACAATGTGTAATAATCATATTAGGGTAAATGGGGTATCCATCACCTCAAACATTTATCTTTTCTTTGTGTTATCAACATTCTAATTATACTCTTTTAGTTATATTTAAATGTAGAATAAATTAATTTTGACTGTAGTCACCCTGTTGTGCTATTGAATACTACATTTTATTCATTCTGTCTTACTATATTTTCATACCCATTGACCATCCCCTCCTCCCAGACCCCCCTACTACCCTTCCCAGACTCTGATCATCATCATTCTACTTTCCGTCTTCATGAGCTCAATTAGTAAAACTTTCCTTTTTTGCAGATAACATGATCATGTACATAGGAAACCCTAAAGAATCCTTGGAAAAGCTATTACATCTAATAAATGAATTTAGCAAAGTTTTGAATGAAAGTCTGTATACAAAAATATATATGTGCATATTTTAGCAAAAAATTAGAAAAAGAAATTTTGACAAAAACTACCCTTTCCATAATAGCATCAAAAATGAAATATTTAGGGGCCGGGCATGATGGCTCACCAATCTTGTACCCCAACAACCAGAATGATTATTTTTTATAGTTTTATGTATAGTCTATTTTGGTTTTAAAATGGCAAAATACTATATGATTTTATATAAAAACTAAACTAACTTAGAAGTATGCAGTAAGAACGTGAAGGTCAAACACGCTGTCCATAACACTTAGGAAAATGAGATCAACAGTAAATAGAAGACTGGTTACTCATCCTACAAGAAATGGTGATGAATAGGCCTGCAAAATATCCTGTAACTCCTCTAGAGGGTGCTCACTAGCAGGACATTCACATGCTACTCCATGTGATGTTAGATTATTGTAAAGCATTATGTTCCTATAAAGGGTGGCGTGACAGTCCATTACCAAGCACGAGACCCTCTGCTGATCTGTCCTAACAAGTGGAATTATGATATGCAGCAACACAGGAACCAGGCTTACGCTAGCCACATTGCAGAGAGACATTGCCAGAATCTCACTTGTAGAGGCCACCATCATATACATCAGTAAGCCTCTCTCCCTGGATCCACATCTCCCTCTATAAGGAGCCCTGTTAACCCCATCATTTAAGGGCTTCATACATTTGCCTTATATTTCTCTCATAAACAAATCAATGAGTTCCAGACTTTTGGTACAAATGTATGAAGACAGAAGAAATCATATTTCAGTCTTAAAAGCCTAATCCCAGAAGTGACACCCATCACTTCACATTCCATTGCCAAGAGCAAATCACATGACCACACAGATGCAAGGGGAATGAGACATTGGCAACCACTTCCCAGTGACCATTATATATTATAGAAGGGGGGCATGCATGTAAGAGGAAAGTTGGTCTTCTCTGACAGAGACGTAGAATTCTACAAACATAGGGGAGGACGTTAAAAGGTGCTGAGCAGATAAAGGTCAAATGTCTGTTACAGAAGGACACAGGCACCAAAAGATAAAGAGATACTCCTCAATTTATGAGGGAGTTATGTCCCAATAAACTCACCATAAATTGAAAATATCATACGTCAAAACTTCATTTAATACAACTAACCTACCTAACATCATAGCTTAGCCAAGCCTGCCTTAAATGTGCTCAGAATATTTATTTGAGCACATAGTTGGGCAAAATCATCTAATAAAAAGACTATTTTATAATAAAGGGTTGAATATTTCCTGTAATTTATTGAATACTGTATTGAAAGTGAAAGATGGAATGGTTGTATGGGTACTTGAAGTATGGTTTCTACTGAATGCATATGGCTTTCACACCATCGTAGAGTCAAGAAATCATGTCAACCATCATAAATAGGGGACTATCTGTATGACAGTAAAAACCATTTTGTTACACAAATAGCAATCATCAAAAAAGAAAACACAGCAATTTCTGTTGCATATATCCAAGCATTCAACAACAAAAGACCTTTCATTTTAATCATTTTTTTAAGACACACGGTCTGACTCTGTTGCCCAGGCTGGAGTGCAATGGTACAATCATAGCTAACTGCAGCCCCGACCTCCTGAGCTCAAGCGATCCTCCTGCCTCAGTCTCTTGAGTAGCTGGGACTACAGGTGCGCATCACTATGCCTGGCTAGTTTTTTCTAGAGGCAGAGTCTTGCTATGTTCCTCAGACTGGTCTCAAACTCTTGGCCTCAAGTGATCCTCCCACCTTGGCTTCCCAAAGTGCTAGAATTACAGAGGTGAGCCACAGCACCTGGCCAAGAATAGACATTTTATATCAAAGTAATTCAAGTATCTATATGAACAAGTAATCGTGCAACTAGGTAATCAGGGCTTTGACCAATTTTGAATTACACAATTAAAGTGCTAATATGTATTGTATTATACTGTATTTGCTGTAGCAATGCAAAAACTTCATTGTTCTTTGTCCCCAAATACAACTGTCACTTATATTTCACTGTTTATGCTGCTAGTACATAGCTTTATAAATTAATCTATCTTGTTTCTGACACTTATACATATTTCATCCTCTGGGGACCTGGAGGAGCATATTCTTTGCCCCACCTCACAATTACCTATGCATATTTCTCAGTAACAGGCATAAGGCACGCTGCACAATCTTAGCTGATGAGATAAGAAGTCTCTCCTAAGGCTTTACTCGCTGGACCATGGCAGAAATGTGGACAAGAGTGGTTGCAGAACATGCTGTGCCTGGGGCAAGGACCCTCTAATAGAACTAGAAGAGATAAGTCACAGGTACAAGGAGTGTGCAATCGGTCTGTTCAGCCACAGTTGCTATTAGAGGCCCCTGAAGAATTTGTTGTACTTTCCACGCTAGGCTACCTCGATCACAGAAATCAGCCTAGAGTCATATAACCCAAAGGGGGAGCTGACATTGCTGCTAAGCCCTCCTCCTGAGGGCCTTTTATCATCTCGTCCTGTAACCTACCTTTGCCAAGACAATTCCTTCAATCTTTGCTTTGTTTCAGGGAACAGTAATCCTACTAAGACTCTAACAGTAGGGACGAGAGAAAGGGATGGAACAAAGGAGTGAGGCAAGGAGGCATCAGATGAAAGTGAGCTAATAATCTGTTGGCACCCATCACATGCTGAGTACTTCCACTTACATTATCACACTTAAGATGCACAATACTTTGGGCATGATGTCACTGCCAGCAAATCTGAAATTAGGAAACTCAGGCCCAGAAGATATGAAGTGACTTTTCCGGGGTATCATTAATGCACCAGCAGTGTAAGCTAAATTGAATCCATTCTGCCTGACACCAAAATCGTATTCCTTTCCTTCCCTCCCACAATTGTTTCCATTGGTGTATAAAACCTCTAAAGATCAAGATGTGGCTTCCTTCTTTAAAGAAATAAAGCTGAGGCTAGGTAGTGACAGGTGGGGGCAAGTATGACCATCTATGAATGTTAAATCTCACCCTCAATCCCACCTTGTAGTTTACCATCTATAGACTTGGCCTTCTTTAGATGAAGCAGTGTTGTAGGGGCCTTTCTCAACTGGTGTTCCTCATTCGAACCACAGAACACAGAAAATGACTTAGGTGACTATTTTCCCAATTCTTCCAAAGATGATACATATGAATACCATTCTAGGTGCTTAGAAGAAAGGTTAATCCAAACACAATGGATGTGTTTGGTTGTTAGGATTTAATTTGCTTGCAGAAACCCAATTGAGACATGCTGGTAGGGAATCTCTAACATTGGTCCACTGTAGAAGACAGAGGAGACGATCAATTTATTTTGTCTATCAACCTGCAGAAATAAAGAGTTTTGGTGGAACTGTAGGTAGAGAAAGAAGGAGGTACCTTCCCATGGCCTTGATGAGCCTGAGTCTTTCTAAATGCCAGGAAGGAAAACTACTCAAATTAGCTGTAACAGGGAGTTATCACAACAATTTTTATTCTCTTGGGAAGTGCTAAAACAAATATATATGGAAATCTTACAGCCAACAGAAACGAATTTCCCACTGCTTTCCTCCCTCCCAAACTTTCCCACTGTCCCTAATTGAAACCCCATTGGAAGGTAACTAAATCCTGTACAACCAGAATCTCCTCATCTAACTTTTCATTTCTCCCTGTGTTAAATTAATCCTGTTTCTCCCTCATGGATTCACCATCAACTTGTACTCTCAAGCTGATGCTGTTCATTTTCCCACTTTTCATGACTCAAGGCCAAAAGGTTGGTATGGCAGCTTCCTCCCTTCCCAATGTTATTTTGAAAACATTGCTTCTGTAGTGTAAAATCCCCAACTAGTCAAGACTCAAGTCAGCTCTTTTCAATGCCTCTTCAACCATCTTTATTGTTATATTTTAAAAAGCAGCCCCCCATTTATTGAGGACTTTGGCACTTTGTTTAGAATGTATCTATTCTGATTATTGCCTTTATTATTGGTGACTTCAGCATCCATATGGAAACACTATCCAGTTCTACAAATGTTCAGTTATTTGTCCTCCTTAATGTCAATAATTTACCTGCTATTCTACTCCTGATTTCTGGCCATAGAGCTGTCCACGTCATCATCAATGACCACTCCACACATGAACTCTGAACTCCTACCACCTTCTCTGATCACACCCAGGCACCTTTTCAGCTCCCTCATTTTATTATAGAACATGCATCCGCCAGACGCTTCCTCCTTCACTTTTCTATTTTTTTTTTTTTTTTTTTTTTTTGAGATGGAGTCTTGCTCTGTCGCCCAGGCTGGAGTGCAGTGGCTCGATCTCGGCTCACTGCAAGCTCCACCTCCCGGGTTCACGCCATTCTCCTGCCTCAGTCTCCCAAGTAGCTGGGACTACAGGTGCCCACCACCACGTCTGGCTAATTTTTTTGTATTTTTAGTAGAGATGGGGATTCACCGTGTTAGCCAGGATGGTCTCGATCTCCTGACTTTGTGATCCACCCGCCTCAGCCTCCCAAAGCCTCCTTCACTTTTCTTTATTAGCCTCAACCCCATGATTCACCACTCCAAGTACTCCCTTGCCAGCATCCTCAAATCCCAATACCATTTTTAAAATTTTTTAAAGAATTTCTGCACCCACCTGTGTGAAAAGTTCAACCCCCAGATCCTTTTAACTGTTTGTCTTCTCCACAGACAAATTCAGGCTGATGAGCAGTGCTGGAAAAAGTGCACAGCTGCGCAGATTAGTGGCACCTGCATTCATGATCTCCAGTTTTCACAAAGCCCTCAGCAGCAGCCACTTGGTTCCCTGTGTGCAGCGTTCAGTGGAAAACTCCATGAGGGCAAGAACAATATCTGCTTTTACTCATTATTTTAACCCACTTGAATGTTAAGCTCCATGATGACAGGGACTTTCTGCGGTATAGATTATTACCGGCCCCTAAGACAGTTTCTGGCACATAATAGACGCTCAATAAATACTCAGTGAAGGAATAAAATAAATAGGAGGTTAAAATTAAGTGATCAACAGTAGTCCAGGGTATTAAAGAGACTCCCCTTAAAAGCTGCAATTAAGCAGAGTCATGAGAGGTGAGTAGGAGCTAGCCTGAGAGGAAATGGAAAAGACAGTATTAAAGGCAGGTTGAACAGCGCCTCTGTGATCCCTCCCTCATGCTTTACACACAATCGTTCTGAGTATTCTGTACTCAAAGCCCTTCCATTCTCTCCAGTTCCACTGCCGCTCCTATGCACCCTCAGATGCAGCCTCTGTATTTCAGCCAGAATGGTAGCTCTAAAAGGTAATTCTGCTCATTATTTTCAGCTTCTATTTGGAACTCCTCTCAGAGCTCTCTAAATTTCCTCAAGATATCTATCAGTTAAATGTGTTCACCCAGTGGTCTTCCATGTGGTTTGTATATGCCAAGGTATCCCCAAAACCCTTTGAAGGAGTCTGCAAGGTCAAAATTATTTTCATAACAATATTTTTAAAATAACTAGTTTCATAATAATATTTTGCCTTTTCACAAAATTGACATTGGCTCTGAAAATGCAAACTGAAGCAGATAAAATAGCTAGTGCCTCACCACAAATCAAAGCAGGGGCACAAGTCTATAATTAGAAGTTGGATTCTTTATCACCAAGCACTTGTAATTTTTTTAAATGCCACTCTTAAGAATATACTTGACAAAGTATAAAAATTTTTAATTTTATTGAATCCCTTGAGTAGATTTTGTTCTAAGGTTAAAGTAAATTAAAGTGGAAACCAGGCCTGGAGAATCCATGAGCAGACAAGGCCTCTTAAGTGCTCATAACTTTTCTTGATTTGCAAACGTAAGCAAAACTTAATTGGAGCTATTTCTTGTAAATGCCTATATTAAAGAAAAATAGAACTTAATCTCAACCAATCAAAAGCAGCTAACTAACTCGTAATTATATAAGAAGGTACTTCCCAGCAGGATAGACCAAATAAGACAAAATTTGTAACTATAACCAATCAAATATTTTATTTGTATTATTTCCACACTTACTGCATAAAAGCGTGTTCCTTACCACTTTTTTTTTTTTCTTGAGACAGGGCCTCACTCTTTCACCCAGGCTGGAGTGCAGCGGCATGGTAATGGCTCATTGCAGCCTCGAACTCCGGGGCTCAAGCAATCCTCCCACCTCAGCCTTCTGAGTAGCTGGGACCACAGGCACCCACCATCATGCCTGGCTAATATTTTTTTTTTTTTTTTTGAGATGGAGTCTGGCTTTGTCACCCAGGCTGGAGTGCAGTGGCGCAATCTCGGCTCATTGCAAGCTCCACCTCCTGGGTTCATGCCATTCTCCTGCCTCAGCCTCCCGAGTAGCTGGGACTACAGGCACCCGCCACTACGCCCATGCCCGGCTAATTTTTTTTTCTTTTTTTTCTTTTTTGGTAGAGAGAAGGGTGTCACCATGTTGCTCAGGCTGGTTTCAAACTCCTAGGCTCAAGCAATCCTCCCACCTTGGCCTCCCAAGGTGCTGGGATTACTGGCAGGAGCCACCATGTCCAGCTTCCTTACCACTTCTTAAGTGAAGACCCCGAACCACTTCTGGTTTGGAGTTGCCCAATTCATGCATTGCTGTTTGCTCAAATAAACTCTTTTAAAAATTTTTATTATGCCTCAGTTTACCTTTTGACACTATGTTCTGAGTAATACAAGGAAAAGTACATATAAAGCACTTCTGCAGTATAACAAGCTATGATGGTTGTCGCCAGAAAAATCACTTAAATAACTATTTGGATTTTAAACTGAACTAGGCACTTTTTTATGAAACATCATTTTTATTTGAAAGAATGATGGAAAAAGTATGGTTATTCAGACTTACATACTTGGCAGAAATTTTCTCAAAAATTAACAAAGTGAACTTGTCATTTCAAAGAAAATAGCTAGCAATATTAGTTACCAATCTATTCTTATAATGTGTGGCTGACAACAAGAAGTGAAGTCACTGCTCCCTTTCCTTGAACCTGGGAAGATCTTTGTAACCAACCTGACCAGTACAATGCAGTGGAAGAAATATCAGGTGATTTCCAAGGCAGAACAGCTTCTGACTGGCCCTCTGTCTCCAGCCACCATGTTAGAAGGAAGTTCAGGCCACATGGAGACAGCAAGGCCTCTAGCTCACAGTCAGCATCAACTGCCAGACATGTAAGTGAATGGGCCTCCAGATGATTCCAGTCCCCAGTCTTTGAGGCTTCCCAGCTGACGTCACTGACATTACCATGCAGAGACAAGCCATCTCTGCTAAGCCTTAATTTTTAACCCATAGAGACCATGAAAGAATAACAAATGATGATTGTTTTGAAGCCACTACATTTTGGGGTAATTCATTATGCAGCAATGGGTAAGTAATCCTGGCATCACATGTTTTTCAAGAATGGGAATATGTCTTTTTCTTCCTGTCTTTCATGTCTAAGCCCTCTATCAGTGGTGCTTGTTGTGTGGAGTTTGGAGCCCAGGAGTAGTCAGAAAAGACTTTGATGACACAGGGTTGCTTGTAGAACATCTAATATGAGCAACTCCTACCTTGTGCTCACTGACCAGGCCCACAGAAAAGTCAACAAGGGCAAAAGTTCTTTGCCTCACAGCACAGAACTGCTCCTTCCTCTCTGGTGCCTCTCCAACCACAAAATTCCTTGTCCCTGTCTTTGCCAGTCTCATGTTAAGAAACCCCATAGACCCAGGTATTCTCCAATCTTGATGATAGAAGGGGAAACTGAGGAAGAGGTCCAGCTCACAACATTCTTACCAGCCCAGGGGGAAGGCCAAGATCTCCACAGAGTCATAAACTCTAGGCCAAGACTATGCCTCTCCCAGGAATATCCAAGTTGGATATACCATATATTTTATGCAGATAAAATAGCTAGTGCCTTACCACAAATCAAAGCAGGGGCACAAATCTGTAACTAGAAGTTGGATTCTTTATCACCAAGCACTTGTAATTTTTTAAAATGCCACTTTTAAGAATATACTTGACAAAGTATAAAAATTATTAATTTTATTGAATCCCTTGAGTAGATTTTGTTCTAAGGTTAAAGTAAATTAAAGTGGAAACCAGGCCTGGAGAATCCATGAAAAGACAAGGCCTCTTAAGTGATAAAACCTGTATTATTCCTACAGAGTCTCCTCTAATGTCAGCAACTGTCCTGGTGTCTCAACCTGTCTTTACCACCTTGATTTAGCCATCATGAAAGATCAGCCAACTCTATGTTATTGTATTTTTATTTCCATCTCTACTTTTTATTACAACAAAGGTCCTACTTCGTTGAATTTTCCCTTGCTTTTAAAAAAACGGAAGGTCTTTAACTTGTTCTGAAGAAACCTCCTGTGAATTTCAAAAGGGCTCCCTATCTGTTGCATGTGGGGAAGGGCCACGCACATCCACATTCCCTTCGTTCCAGGGCACTGGATTTTCAAATATTGAGTTCTTGCTGTCTTCAGTCTTTGAATAAAGCTCACGTGGACAACTATGAAGTTTAAAAGCATAGGTTGAGTTTGGGGTATAGTCATGAGAATAGAGAGGAAAGAGCAGAAGTACAGCTCATTGCAGAGGACAAGCATCATGATATTCAGAACATTTGATATGGAGTGATATGGGGTAAGAGTGAGCTGGGTTTTATTCTGGGAAATCACCCAGCCCTGAAAAAGCTATTTATATTCTTTTGTTCACTTTCCTTATCTGTAACACAGAGACCGTTATGCCAGGTTTCCTAGCTACTTTAGTTGTTGTGAAGCAGCATATTATAAATATCATAAAAGATTATCCAGTGCTAGGTGCCATGGTGCACAGCTGTAATCCCAGCTACTTGGGAGGCAGAGTCAGGAGGATCACTTAAGCCCAAGAGTTCAAGGCTGTACTGCACTGTGTTCACACCTGTGAATAGCCACTGCACTCCAACCTGAGCAACACAGTGCCTCTTAAATATGTATATGTATATATATATATATGTGTGTGTGTGTGTGTGTGTGTGTGTGTGTGTGTGTGTATATATATATATATATACTCTTTTAAATTTACTCTGTTTTAAATATTTTGAGGCAGAAGCAAGACGTTTTGATACAGAAAGCCAGCAGGTTGCTG